>NC_000001.11:246487151-246638667 GCF_000001405.40 Homo sapiens
AATAGTTGAAATATGGTTGGGCATGGTAGCTCACGCCTGTAATCCCAGCACTCTGGGAGGCCAAGCGAGTGGATCACTTGAAGCCAGGAGTTTGAAACCAGCCTGGCCAATATAGCCAAACCCCATCTCTACTTAAAATACAAAAATTAGCCAGGCATGGTGGTGCGCACCTGTAATCCCAGCTACTCGTCCCAGCTACTCAGGAGGCTAAGGCAAGAGAATCACTTGAACCCAGGAGGTGGAGGTTGCAGTGAGCCGAGATTGCACCACTGCACTCCAGCCTGGGCAACAGAGCAAGACTCTGTCTGGAAAAAAAAAAAGTTAAAATACAAGGTGGTAAATGTGATAAAAGATACAATGTTCTGAGTACCTGAAAGAGTGAGCACCACCCTAAACAACCAGGAGACAATCAAAGAATGTGTTCATCTATAGAAAGAAAATGTAAAAAAACAGAAGTCTCAAAATACAAGAAAAATAGTTACAAGCAATTTCACCCTACTGCAGAAAACCATGCCCAGTGTCTAACTTAGGCTCCACTCAGATCTTTTTTTTTTTTTTTTGAGATGGAGTTTCACTCTTGTTGCCCAGGCTGGAGTGCAATGACGCGACCTCAGCTCACCACAACCTCTGCCTCCTGGGTTCAAGTGATTCTCCTGCTTCAGCCTCCCCAGTAGCTGGGATTACAGGCATGCACCACCAAGCCCGGCTAATTTTGTATTTTTAGTAGAGACAGGGTTCCTCCATGTTTGTCAGGCTGGTCTCGAACTCCCAACCTCAGGTGATCTGCATGCCTCAGCCTCCCAAAGTGCTGGGATTACAGGTGTGAGCCACCACGCCTGGCCCTCCCTTTTAGCATTTCCTATGCATGGTGGCCACATGAATCATGTGACCTCGTAATAAACTGATCTTCCACAAGTGCCTCATTCATTAAATCCTGCTCATTAAAAGTTGGGCTCCAAACTACAATTAAATCCATGTATTTGATCTGTGACCGAAAAATTATTATATTAAAGGTAGTTATTACACAGGTAATTTCATTAAAAAGAAGTCTGGGCATTTTAAAATAGACTTCTAGAATCATCTGCCAGCTTGACTTGTACATCTTGACTGAAACTAACAGAAGAAAGGTATTACTATAGATCTCTGATACAGAAAGGTCAAGTTCAAGAAATTCAGTCAAAAAGCAAAAACAGAAGAAAGTGAAGGGTGCTCAGAAAAAGTCCAAGCTAAGCACAGAAAAAAATAACAGAGATTTAGGCTGGGCGTGGTGGCTCATGCCTGTAATCCCACTTTGGGAGGCCGAGGCGGGCAGATCACCTGAGGTCTGGAGTTCAAGACCAGCCCTGACAACCTGGTGAAACCCTGTCTCCACTAAAAATACAAAATTAGCCAGGTGTGGTGGTGCATGCCTATAGTCTCAGGTACTGGGGAATCTGAGGCAGGAGAATAGCTTGAACCCAGGAGGCAGAGGTTGCAGTGTGCCGAGATCGCACCACTGCACTCCAGCTTGGGTGACACAGTGAGACTCCGTCTCAAAAGAAAAAATAAAAATAGAGATTTTAAGCAGGCTGTTATTTACAACTGCTGCAAATATTCATATAAAACTACTATGGATTTAGCCCTAGTGTCCTCAAACTTTAGTGCCAATAAGACCAATAAAGTAGACAGAAGACAGATTGCAAAAGGAATGCGTCTCCATCCTGTAGGTAAACAGGTATCAAAATTTTATGAGTACCAGCGTCACCCAGGGAGCTTGGCAAGAATGTAGATTCTGTGCCTTAAAACACTAGATATTCTCCGGAGAGGCACTGAGAGCCAGATTTTTAACAAGTCCTCTCTCTCTCTCTCCACCTCCCACTCCCCAGTCATTCTGAGGGAGGTGAATGGTAGGTCACTTCTGAAGAAGCAATGCAGGCCGGGCGCGGTGGTTCACACCTGTAATCCCAGCACTGTGGGAGGCCGAGGCGGGCGGATCACGAGGTCAAGAGATTGAGATCATCCTGGCTAACATGGTGACACCCCGTCTCTACTAAAAATACAAAAAATTAGCCGGGCGTGGTGGCGGGCGCCTGTAGTCCCAGCTACTCAGGAGGCTGAGGCAGGAGAATGGCGTGAACCCGGGAGGCGGAGGCTGAGGTTGCAGTGAGCCGAGATCATGCCACTGCACTCCAGCCTGGGCGACAGAGCGAGACTCCATCTCAAAAAAAATAATAAAAGAAAAAGAAGCAATGCAATATTTCAGGTACTATCCTAGTACTTTTGTGTGTGTTGTCTCATTTACTCCTCATGAAGATCACGAGGTAGCTATTTCCCTATTTTATGAATGAGAAAACAGAAGCCCAGGGTTTAAGAGGCAGAAGGTTAAACAACTAAGGAGAAAGAAAAAGGACAGAAAGGAAATTTGCTCTATTCGACAGCGATTTCAAAGTATTCTAAATAAAGAAGCTGACATTCTAAAACATCATTAAAAACAAAAGTATCAATAGATCAGAAAGCTTCAATATCTTGTGTCATTCAGAGAGAGAGAGAGATGTGGAAGGCCAATATTGAAAGTTATAAATAACTGTTTAAATATTTAAAATGCAACTCAGCTGTTTGTAGTAGGCTGTACGTAAGCCAAGGTAGAGGCTGAAAGTACACTGTATGAAGTTATTTATGCTTAAAATTTGCATTATTTGAGCTTGAAGTCTTTATTTTTTTTGAGACAGAGTCTCGCTCTGTCACCCAGTGGAGTGACAAAATCACAGCTCATAGCAGCCTCAACCCCCCAGGCTCAAGTGATCCTCCTGCCTCAGCCTCCCAACTACCTGGGACTAGAAGTACGACCACCGCACCTTGCTAATTTTTTCCTTTTTTTTTTTTTTTTTTTTTGTCAGGACAGGGTCCCGCTGTGTTGCCTAAGCTGGTCTGGAGCTTCTGGGCTCAAGTGATCTCACCTTGACCTCCCAAAGTGCTGGCAGTATAGGCGTGAGCCACTGTGCCTGACTTAAGTCATTTTCATAGATGAATTAAATAACCACCTATAAACATTCGCTGTGACATACTATTTCTGGTGACTACACAGAATTATAGATTTGATACTAATAATTCAGCCAGTGACCCTAATCTTACTAGCTTCCATAATCAGTAGTACCAACTAAGAGTGGTAATAATAATCAAGAGAAGGAGTCAGTTTCAAAAAATACTCAGAAAATGTCTCAGATGTTATCTGCAGACAGAGTGCTCTGATAATCCTGCAAATTTCAGTCACTGAGACATTTATTGAACATCCTTGTGTACTTAGCAATGAACTAGGGTCTTGGGATTCACAGAAAAATAAGACAAGGTCTCCGTCCTCAAGAAGGCTAAGACCACAGGGCAAATAACTAATAAAACCTAATAACCAAATTAAGACCTAAATTATATAATAATACCTAAATTCCACCGACCAATCGCTGAGGGCTGGACTCAATGGCTCACACCTATACTCCCAGCACTTTGGGAGGCCAAGGGGAGAGGACTGCTTGAGCCCAGGAGATCAGTCTGGGCAACACAGTGAGACTCTGTTTCTACAAACAATTAAAAAATTAGCCAGGTATAGTGGCAGGCACCTGTGTTCCCAGCTATTCTGGAGGCTGAGGTGGGAGGATCGTTTGAGTCTGGGAAGTCAAGGCTGCAGTGAGCCATGATCATGCCACTGCACCCCAGCCTGGGCAACAGAGTGAGACCCTGTCTCAAATTAAATAAATAAATGGTCTTTTAAAAAGATCAATCAATGAGAACTAAGTAGAGCAAGGAAAGAACACGTATTAAGTATGAGTACCTGTTATACACAAAATACTTCCACATGTTTTATCTCTTTTAATTCTGAGGATAATCTGAAGAGGCAGGGTTCAAGATTAAGAAAACAAAGTTCAGAGCTGTTAAGTAGTTTGCCCCAACTCACATAACTCATAAAGAGGATAAGACAAGGGAAAGCACCAAAGTGAGAGTAAGTATGACCGGTTCACAAGGCACTGAGACCAGTCAGACTAAAACACAGGATACACTGGGAAATAAAGCTGGCCAGAGTTGGGCCAGATTAGAAAGGACCACTAGTTATGCTTGATGAAATAAGAATCTGTCAGCCGGGCGCGGTGGATCACGCCTGTAATCCCAGCACTCTGGGAGGCCGAGGCAGGCATATTACCTAAGGTCAGGAGTTCAAGACCAGCCTGGCCAACATGGCAAAACTCCGTCTGTACTAAAAATACAAAAAAATTAGCTAAGCATGGTAGCGGACACCGGTAATTCCAGCTAGCGGGGAGGCTGAAGCAGGAGAATCGCTTGAACCCAGGAGGTGGAGGTGGCAGTGAGCCGAGATCGCACCATTGCACTCCAGCCTCGGCAACAAGAGCGAAACTTCGTCTCAAATAAAAAAAAAAAAAAAAGAGAGAGAAATAAGAATCAGTCATTAAAGGCATATTTAAGGAAGACTACTAATATGGCAACACTTCATAGAACAGATTGCAGTAGGGAGGATCTGCAAACAGATATAATCAACTAAGACACAGCTCTAGAGAGGAGCTGCCCCTGGCTGATACCATCGGTCCTCTAGAGAGGAGCTGCAGGAACTGACCGATACTATCAGGTAGGCAGGTGTTGCTCCAAGCTGGCCAGGCCCTCACAGGGAGGCACTGGTGTCCTTCTGTTGAACATACACAATTTCACAGAACATGGACCTCAGACAAGGCCACTCTGTGACCGTGATGGATCAAAACGAAAACAAGACCACTCTGTAATCATGTCTGAACGCAACTCTGTTCAACTACCGATGTGCTCCCTGGCTGGACGGCAGGAACTAAAGCTAGAGCCTGTTCTAGGATGGTGGCAGTAGGAATAGAAGAAAGAAAGCAATATAAGTGACATTTCCAAGTAAGAATAAAAAAAACTGTTAGTAGGCAATTCAAGAGAAAAAGTTGAGACTCATACATCGCTTGAGTGGATAGCATCCAACTGAAATATTATAAATCTAATCTATAATATTTAAAATCTATATTTTTATTTAATCTAGTTAAATTAGTCCATGTTTTTCAGACTGAATAAAAGATGATGACAGAAAAATATTTAGTAGGTAATTAGAGATTAAAAAATAATGATGCCTGCGTCCCACCTCCAAAGGCTCTGATTCGATCAGTACTGAGTGTAGCCTAGGCATCAGGATTTTTCCAAGCTCCCCAGGTGATTCCAGTGTGCAGCTAAAGCTAAGAACCGGTATCTCAGAGAACGCCGATGGCTCCTGACTAGGAGGAAAAAGGACAAACGATGGATAGGGTAGAAAGGGACCCAAGAAAGTACTGGGGCAAAAAGGTAAGCGAGAAACAAAAAATGGCTGAAAGACTAGACAGACGATTCCCAGACACAGCAAGAGTCATTTAAATGATGAAAGAGTCACTATTTAACAAACGATAGAAACCAGGCAAGAAGGTTAACACAGGTTTAGATGACTAGGAAACATGACCAACAAGTAAGGCCACTACTCTGCATTAGCAAAATCTTCAGCTAGGAGACTTTCAATCTATGATCCTCTGAGGATGCCTGGATAACAACTACATGTACCACTACAAATAGATGTTAACTGTGTACAGCCTGTTTCTAAATATAGAGGTGGATTCCTCCAGCCCTTTTCCTTCCTAGTGTTCCCACACTGCCACCTCGTGGGTCAGCACTGCAAGGAGCCGGTTTGAACTGGAAGGGATTTCTAACTGGCCCTGTAAATTCACAAGGCAGGTACATGGTAAAGCCTCAATTCAAGGGTTTAATCCTTATGTTTTCCTCTGTTTAATTACAGTGGAAGACAGCCTTAAGGTACATTGTTTCTTTTGTGGGTGATAAGAATTTTCTAAAGTTGATTATGGTGATATTAGTATGTACTTAATGCCACCGAAGGGTACACTTAAATAAATAAAAGGGTAAAGTTAATGTTACTTTATATCACTTTAAATAGGCAAATGGTATGGTATATGAGTTATATCTCAATAAAGCTGTTACAAAAAAAGGAGGAGGTGGCCAGGCACATTGGTCTGTAGTCCTAGCTACTGGGGGGGAGGAGAGGGGGGCTGAGGTAGGAGGATCACTTGAGGCCAGGAGTTTGAGGCCAGCCTGGACAACATAGTGAGACCTTGTCTCTCTGAAAAAATAAATAAATAAAAAGAAAGAGGAGTAGGAGGAGGCAGCTGTAGCAAATACATAAATGGTTTCTAAAACTGCAGAAAACTTAAAAAGGATGTCAGAAATCACTCAATACCTTCATTTCAAAAAGGCAAAACTGAGACTCAGATTAACTTACTTACCCTACTTACCCAGGCAGTAAAAACTAGGCCAAAAAGGGGCACTATTAACCCATTTATGGAGGTCTTCTATGGTCTCCCAATCCTGAGAAGCTTTTTCTCTTAAGCTTGATCCTCAGCAATGCTATCTTTTGCTGCCTAACTTACTACTGGGAGATCACACTCACACCAATGACTTCACAGAGCAGTAGTATCACCACTATTCCAATAGTTCAAAACCCAGCACTCACCCTTCACCACAGAGCACTACTGTCACCACTATTCCAATAGTTCCAGCTCAAAACCCAGCACTCACCCTTCACCACAGAGCAGTACTGTCACCACTATTCCAATAGTTCCAGCTCAAAACCCAGCACTCACCCTTCACCACAGAGCAGTACTGTCACCACTATTCCAATAGTTCTAGCTCAAAACCCAGCACTCACCCTTCACTGCTTCCTTGCCCTTTAATCGGTCAACAACGTGGGTGAACTCCTCAACATGTTTGGTTCCAGGCCCTCTACCAGTCCCCTAGCTCAGGCCTTCATCACTTCACATCTAGAATAACGCACATTTTCTCCTAACTGGAATCCTCATCTCCAGTCTTTCCACTTCTCTCCCTCATCACAAAATTCACCCAAATCAGGACTCCTACACAAATCTTCCATGTGCACCTCATACTGCAGCCCAAAAATCTCTATGGGCTCCTCAAGAGTTGTACCTAGAAAATAAAGTTCAAAATCTCTTAACCTCAGCAAGGCCTTCTGTATCACAGACGCTATCCCAACTTATAATCTATCATCTATACAAACAGCACTTCGCTGCAGTCATAATGGTCTACTAAACAATGTATGCACATTTCCCAATTAGTTATTCCTCCATAGTTGTTATCTCTACCACTTATTTCACTGGTATCATGACTTTTTTTTTATTCCTTTCCCAAAGGTTCTCAACTCTGGCTATGCATTAGCATTACCTGTGAAGCTTTAAACAATTATGGGACCCTTAAGGATGTTGCTCAGACATCTGGATATTTTTAAATTCCACAGGTAAATGTGTAAAATACCAATGATTCATAGATTTTAAGTAAGTCTTTTTGTAAGATGCTTAAGTTTTCACCACTAAAACTGAGCATCCAATATTAGAGTCAAAAACTCAAAAATTAAACTGCCCAGAGAAACTGTTACCTACTACCCAAGGTTTCTTGATCATTGGTACAACATAAATCTTTCCAATTAACATCTACTTTCTAACAAGACGTAAACACAGCAGCTAAAAAATGCTAACAAGGATTAAATTTTTATATACTCAAATTCATTTGTGAGAAACATCTATCATAACCATGCCAATTAAAAATTCAACATAATTCCTGTTTGTCCTACCTATGACAATTATTTAAATGTAAACAGAACATGCTAATGTCAATGTCCAGTTTAAAACTGAACATGCAGAATTATTTATAGATATTATAAGCAGTTGGACTAATCCCAGCTGTGGCAATTTTACCTTAGCCCTTGGATATAAAGGCACAGAGAAGCAGGGAGTCAGTGAAGATGGAAAAGAAAGATAGGAGCTGTCAACCCAGACTGCTCTATAATAATCTGGGGAGTATTAAAAATGTCTATGCTCTGCCGGGCGCGGTGGCTCACGCCTGTAATCCCAGCACTTTGGGAGGCCAAGGCGGGTGGATCACGAGGTCAGGAGATCGAGACCATCCTGGCTAACACGGTGAAACCCCATCTCTACTAAAAATACAAAAAATTAGCCAGGCGTGGTGGCGGGCGCCTGTAGTCCCAGCTACTCGGGAGGCTGAGGCAGGAGAATGGCATGAACCCGGGAGGCGGAGCTTGCTGTGAGCCGAGATCATGCCACTGCACTCCAGCCTGGGTGACAGAGCAAGACTCCGTCTCAAAAAAAAAAAAAAAAAAAAAAAAGGTCTATGCTCCAGCCACACTCCAGACAAATTAAATGAGAATCTCTGAGGGCAGGACCCATGCACCAGCATTTCTTAAATCTCCCCGAGTGCTTTCAATGTGTAGCCAATGTCGAGAACCAACGAGTTACAAGGGAATTTCTCAAAGGAAATCTAAAGATGAGAGCTGTTCAAAGACAAACACAAAGAGGGAAAAAGTCCCAAGAACTAGTTAGTTACTTCAGAAGTAAGTTGCTTTCTCTTATCAGTTTATGAACAATTTTTACATATTACAAATATACACTTTTTGGCCATGCGAGTGACTCACACCTGTAATCCCAGCACTTTGGGAGGCCAAGGCAGGGGGATCACTTGAGCTCAGGAGATCAAGACCAGCCTGAGTAAATGGCAAAACCCCATCTCTACCAAAAATACCAAATAAAAAAAAAAAATTAGCCAGGGGTGGTGGCACGCATCTGTGGTCCCAGCTACTCAGAGGGCGGAGGTAGGCGGCTTAGGTGGCAGAATTGCTTGAACCTGGGAGGCGAAGGCTGCAGTGAGCTCAGATCATGCCACTGTACTCCAGCCTGGGTGACAGTGAGACTTCACCTCAAAAAATAATAATAATAATAATAATATTCCTTTTTATGTTGAAATATTTTCGTCAGTTTCTTGATTTTTTGTTGTTGTTGTTGTTATTGTTTTGATATGGAGTCTCACTCTGTCGCCAGGCTGGAGTGCAGTGGCATGATCTCAACTCCCCGTAACCTCTGCCTCCCGGGTTCAAGCGATTCTCCTGCCTCAGCCTCCCAAGTGGTTGGGATTACAGGCGCACACCACCACGCCCGGCTAATTTTGTATTTTTAGTAGAGATGGGATTTCACCATGTTGGCCAGGATGGTCTCTATCTCTTGACCTCGTGATCTGCCCGTCTCAGCCTCCCAAGGTGCTGGGATTACAGGCGTGAGCCACCACGCCTGGCCAGTTTCTTGATTTTTTTCATTATAAGATGGTTCATTAACATAAGGATGTTTTTAACTTTTATATATTCAAATCTGCCCAGTCTATCAATCTATCTTATCCCCTTGTGGTTGCTCTTATTTATTTTTGCTGCAAATGCTATAAGAACAACAAAAAGAGGACTTGCTTACATTATAATTCTCAACCCAAGTAATGAATTTTAAAAATCAGTATTGGCCAGATGCGGTAGCTCATGCCTGTAGTCCCAGCACTTTGGGAGGCCGATGCAGGTGAATTGCTTGAGCCCAGGAGTTCAAGACCAGGCTGGGCAACATGGTGAAACCCCATCTCTACAAAAAATATAAAAATTAGCCGGGCATGGTGGTGCATGCCTGTGGTCCCAGCTACTCAAGGCTGAGGTAGGAGGATGACTTCAGCCAGGAGGTTGAGGCTGCAGTGAGCCAGGAGCACACCACTGCACTCCAGCCTGGGTGACAGAGTGAGACTCTGTCTCAAACAAACAAACAAAAAGATCAATATTAGCCTACTGTTATAAATGCTTTTAAATGTTTAAAACTAAACATGAATAGGCCGTGTATAAAACAGTAAACTGGCAACAAGTAAACTTTAAAAAGGAAACATTCTTGATTGTACTATATTTAAACAACTAGTAATGGCTCTGTCCATTTTCACTTTTCAAATAGTAGAATGAGATATAAAACACAAGGTTATCCCACAAGTGGCCTTTATTTTTTCTATACTAACAAGTAATTATTATGTCAAAAACTAGGGGAAAAACTCATTTACACAGAATCTTCTTGTAGTAATAAACTGTAAGGAGATCAACAAGCACAATTTTCCCTCCAGATCATACCAACTCCAAGTAAAACTACTAGTTTCAAACATAGGTTTCGACTCTTATTGTGAAAAACATGGTCATCATCAATAAGCCACTATACCATGTAAATTTCATTAGTGAGTTTTATATAGATATTTATGACAAAATTTAACTTGTTTGCCCTTTTTTGGTCTAATTCAAAATAAGAGTTAATGGCAAATGTCAGAGGCTAAGAACAGTTTGGAAAGGGGGTTCATGAAGGAGACCACTCAGAGACAGTGTTTTAGTGGCTAAAAAATAAGTTGCCTTTCTGAAAAATATTTGTATGCTTTTTACTCCATTGTCCACCAGAGGGAGCATCACATCTGATTAAGAGATAATGGGGAACTCCCAGATAGAAATGGAAAATCATCTGAAACTTGATCTACGAGGTGCTACAGATGGTAGCATATACAGTTAAATGTAAAATCAAATCAGAGAACCCCCAAAAGAATCTCAAAGTGAGTGGGAGGACAGCCTCCTAGGGAGATCTCATCTCTAAAAAAAAATTTTCTTTTAATTAGCTGGGTATGATGTTGCACGCCTGTGGTCTCAGCTGCTCAGAAAATTCTGGAGGCTGAGGAGGGAGGATCACTTGAGCCCAGGAATTCAAGGCTGCAGTGACCTATGATCAAACCACTGCATTACAGCCTGGGTAACACAGGGAGACCCCAGTCTCTAGAGGAAAAAAAAAAAGAAAAGGAAAAAACAAGAAAAATGAGCAAAAGATAAATACAGACAAATCACAAAAAGATATAAATATGGCCTTTAAACACATGAAAAGATGTTTAACTTCACCCATAATGCAATTTAAATGCAAATTAAAACTATACTAAGATCCCACTTCTCACCCATAAGCTTAGCAAAAATTCAAAAGTTCAGGCTGCAAAGCTAAGGGAAACAAGTACTCACATACATCATTAGTGGGAATGCAAAATGGTACAACCCCACATAGGTATTTACACCTTGACCCAGAAATCCCATTTTGAGGAATCTACCCTGAAGATACACCAGCAACAATATAAAAATACACACATGCAAGGTTATTCATTAGAGCAATATGCACAATTGCAAAATACTGGAAATTGCCTAAATATCCACACATAGGAAATTAGAAAGTACAGTGGATACATAAAATTGAGCATTATGGAGCTATAACGAATAAGGAAGATCTCCATGAACTGATAGTAGAGTGATTTCCAGTAGACACAAAGATAATGAAGCAAGTGCAAAACTAAGAATGGAAAATAAGAACACACATATAGGCCGGGCACAGTGGCTCACGCCTGTAATCCCAGCACTTTGGGAGGCCGAGGCGGGTGGATCACGAGGTCAGGAGATCGAGACCATCCTGGCTAATGGTGAAACCCTGTCTCTACTAAAAATACAAAAAATTAGCCAGGCGTGATGGCGGGTGCCTGTAGTCCCAGCTACTCGGGAGGCTGAGGCAGGAGAATAGTGTGAACCTGGGAGACGGAGCTGGCAGTGAGCCGAGATCGCACCACTGCACTTTAGCCTGGGCAACAGAGCAAGACTCCGTCTCAAAAAAAAAAAAAAAAAAGAACACACATATATACTTGCTTATCTTAAAAAGAAAAAATATAAGATGAACCAGACGCTACGGTCTGAATGCTTATACCCCCCAGGCTGGAGTCCAGTGGCACGATCATGGCTCACTGCAGCCTTGACCTCCTAGGCTCAAGTGATCCTCCCACCTCAGCCTCCCAAGTAACTGTGATTACAAGGGTGCACACCATCCCACCCAGATAATTTTTTGTTTTTTTTTTTAACAAGATGAAGTTTCCCTATGTTGCCCAAGGTGGTTGTGAGCTCCTGGCCTCAAATGATCCTCCCACCTCGTCCTAACAAAGCACTGGGATTACAGGTGTAAGCCACCACTTGATTAAGCCAGACTTTAGAGAGACATGAAAAAAATGTAAAGCAATGCAATTCTCATTAAATTTTCGTTGTTTTAAAAAATACACACGGGCCTATAGTCCCAGCTATTCGGGGGACTGAGGCAGGACAATCGCTTGAACCCAGGAGGCAGAGGTTGCAGTGAGCCGAGATTGTACCACTGCACTCCAGCCTGGGCAACAAAGCGAGACTCTATCTCAAAAAAAGAAAATATAGTTTGATTCCTTAAAAAATTGTTACAACATAATAAATTTACATATATGTAACAATTTTTTAAGTAACCAAACCATCAAATATACACACACACACACACACACACACATATATATATTTTTGTTATTGTTGTTTTGTTGTTGTTGGGTATTTTTTGGAGGCAGGGTCTCACTGTGTCACCCAGGCTGGAGTGCAGTGGCGCAGTCTCAGCTCACTGCAGCCTCCACCTCCCAGGTGCAAGCGATTCTCCTGCCTCAGCCTCCAAAGTAGCTTGATTACAGGCATGCACCACCACATCTGGCTAATTTTTGTATTTTTAGTAGAGACGGGGTTTCGCTACGTTGGCCAGGCTGGTCTCAAACTCCTGGGCTCATGTGATCTGCCCACCTCGGCCTCCCAAAGTGCTGGAATTACAGGTGTGAGCCACCACGCCCTGCCTTAAATTTATGTTTAAATAGGTATTTTCAAAACTTAGTTTTAATTTTTATGCAATAAATATAAATAGATAAAACCCACATAAACAAAACATCATCAGCACTCTCAATAACGTTTTTTAAATCCCTATCAAATCCATTTTGATAATTTGTAAAAGGATAAAGGGGTCCTGAGACTAAAAGGTCTGAGAACCACTGGTCTATAACACCAGCTGCCTTAAATGCCAGAGTATGTTAAGAGCAGGGGCTGGGGCTGGGGACTGTATCGCTTCTGTTGCCTGATAATGCTGGATTCTGCACTACCATCACCACAGACACTGGGCCCTGCTGCTGCTGCTGCTCCTTGGGAAACTGGTTGTTGCTGGAGAGTGATTCTCTCAACCATTCTTCTTTGTGATACTGGCTTTTATTCAAAGTCCTCAGAGAGCATCTTAGATTGACCGAACTTAGGTCACTGCCCGCACCCTAGCTGCAAGGGAGGTTGAGAAGGTATTTAGCCTTTTTGGCTTTTTCGATAGAAGGCAGACTTGGTCTACATCCCACCAATAGTCTTCCAATGAGGAAATCGGCAAACATAAACAGTCAAAACCACAAGCATTAGCCCATTGCTCTAATTCTTTCTGGGAAGGTCAGAGGCAACCTTGTGGGGAATATCACAGCTCTATCAAAGATTCTCAGTGGATCTTAGAGATGGTGGTATTACACACAGGGAAGACAAATCCAAGTACAGGAAAAAAATTGATATTCCAACTGACTCCTCCATGACAAAAAGTTCTACCATAATAACCCGACACAAGGTGGCTGGCTGGTCCTGAAGATGTGTTGCCATTTGGGGAATCAGGACCAGTTACTACTGGCAGCAAACTGGGCACTCTGTACCAGCAGAAGCCACATGGCTATCATGAGGGGAAGTCTGTATTGTTGAGTTCCAGGCACCAGCCTCTATCCCCGTCCCCATGGTTGCTCTGTTCTTGAGCCTTTTGAGCAAGCACCAGGCTGTCTGAAGAACAACTTACTGCTATCCACAAAGCAGGTCATCCTGTCTGATTAAGAACGCCCTCTGCTGTGGCATTCACATGGACCAAATGTTTTCACCAGGGCTCAGCCATAAAGCCCTTTCCCAAACCTCGTTACAGAAGAAAAGGAAGCAGTAGAAGAAACAGGAATTATGACTCCCACTTAAAAAGAAAAATGTAGTCACATCCATAAAGTCCTTTCCCAAACCACATTATTATCAATTCTTCCACCTTATTTCAAATCCTAGACCCATTAGCCACTGCCCAGGAAGTTGCAAATCCTACTTCAAGCCATCGTTCAAGGTTCTGCTCTTTGAAATGATTTTGCTAGTTGCTTGACCTTCAGGGCCTCCAAGGAAGAGTCTGTAACACTGCAGCAATTCACTTACGCCTGGTGCTAACCATATTTTACAAAATCAGCCGTAAACCCAGTAACGTCTTTTTACATTATTTTCACAGAGGTAAGTGCTTCCTTGTCTCCACTAGCCTCTTCTACTCTACTGACCCTTAAACCTTGGGTTATTTTAGCCAATGTGAGAATTCTGCCTTTGCTGAAACTATTCATGCCAATGTCTAACATTCTTAGTAACTTCATTATTTAGATAATTCAACTAACCTCAGCCTTTGGGTTTCCTGACCAAAAATCTTTTCTTACTCCCTACCTTGGCCACATTCTGCCACACCCCGTACCTGTTGTATCAAGACACACACTACTTCTAAGCATGTACATATCAAGTCAACCCATTATCTGACCACTCACCATTTCTCTGACCACATGAGGACCTCTAATCCATTGATTCGGCCACATTTCACTGGCCATCACCTTCCTTACGACCTCATTCCCTACCTGAGAAACCATGATCCACAATTACACCCTCCCTTGCCTACAACTTCAACTTCCCGTCCCCTCTCTCCGTCCATCATGCTAACCTAGCAATCCTAGGTAAATCCAGTTCTCATAGCCAAGCAGCTGGCAATTGGGAGAGAAAGGAAACATGACCCAACTAACTGTTCCCACTTTAAATAAACAAACACAAGTTTTAAGTAGACCCTCAGCACTTTTCAACAATCCTACATTTCACGAGGCAATTTATGCTTCTCTCCTAGAAGACTATTTCCAATCTCTCCTAAGGCTGAGTCACTTAGCAACCACTTCCCTAGCGGTCCTTAAACTTTTCAATCACCACTGCTGTTGCCTTTTCTGGCACCTCTTCTTCTTACCCTCATATATGAAGATGTTCCCTTCCATCTCCACCCCAGGTTCAGTCCTTGGCCAAGAGACATTCCATCATCTCACCAAACACAGTGAGTTATTACCCTTTATTGCCTGGTCACATTTACTCACACTGCAACTCAAATGCAGCTGCCTTTTTTTTTTTCTTTTTTTTTGAGACAGGGTCTCACTCTGTCACCCAGGCTGGAGTGCAGTGGCGTGATCACCACTCACTGCAACCTCCACCTCCTGGGCTCAATTGATTCTCCCACCTCAGCCTTCTGAGTAGCTGGGACTACAGGCATGCACCCAGGTAATTATTTGTATTTTTAGTAGAGACAGGGTTTTGCCATGTCGCACAGGCTCATCTTGAACTTATGGGCTCAAGCGATCCACCTGCCTCGACCTCCCAAAGTGCTGGGACTACAGGCATGAGCCACCATGCCCAGCCTGCTTTATCTTCTATAACTCATCTAATCTGTCTCCTGAATATGCGCCATTTTTTCTATAATTAATCTAATATTCCTCATGAATATCTACTCTAATAAATATCCAGGAAATTTAAAACTTGTCAAACAATATCTCAATCTCTTCCAGTTAATACTCAGACTTTGTTTAACTCCTTACCCGGGCTGGTTTAAATGGCTGCTTTCGGGTAGATTTCCCTCCAAGGTCTTATCGGACATCCTAGAAGAAATAGTGGCAAGAAGACCTTGGATCTGTGTTGTTTCTCTGGATCCTCACTGGTCTCTGCTGCAAGGAGGTAATCAGGTCCTATGGCTGAACTGGTCCCATCTCATCTTTTAGGATGTCATGCTGGCTCTCATCCCTGGAGTCTGTGATCCTGACATTCAGTCTATAGTCACACAGTCTTTTGTCATGACGCCAGCTGTTCCACCAGGCCAATAAGCTCCTCCACCTCCTTCACAGTGGTATGAGAGCATTTCAGAATCCCCTGGTACCACAAACTCAACTATCTAGCCACTTCCTTCTACCACTGCTGTGCTATAGGCCCGTGTTGGCCTATCACTAACCTGCATAACATCTCCTCTCAAGATTCCACATAAGGAGCAGAGCAAAAGGCCTTCTACTGCTGACCGTCCCCTCAACCCATTTAACATCCCCACCCTAACCCTAGAACTTTAGCCAGCCAAGAAAGATCAGAACACATATTTCTCACAATCTGTTTTCCCTACCTCTGTCCCCCCGCTGCCCACAATCCACCAGGACTGAAAGGGATGACACGTCTACTTCCAAGTCATCCTCCTTCCTCCTGGGAGGCACTAAGCCTCATTCTCAGCCTTAATGCCAGATGAGCTATTCTCTTTACCCTACAGAAGAAACTATCATTAGAGTTTGCCAGAAGTAACTCTTGATATGGAAGCTGCAGGCAACTTGGAACTTGAGAAAACCAAAGACAAACATACAGCGACTTCAAGTTCCCCAAAATATTAATCCTTGAATGATTAACATCTCCCATGTGGTAGGCCCTGGGGATATAAAAAAGATTAGACTTAGAGCACTACACTAGGGAGTGAGAAGGTTTACAAATACAATCATAACAATGGAATTTTATGTGCTGCACTCACCAAAGCAAACGGGAAATACACATAACTCATACCCAATTGTCAACCAACCTGTTCTACCTCCATCAAATTAAAAATGCATGCAACGGCAGAAGGACAATATAAGTGATTTCAGGCCGGGGACAGCGGCTCACGCCTGTAATCCCAGCACTTAAGGAGGCTGAGGCGGGTAGATCACCTGAGGTCAGGAGTTTGAGACCAGCCTGACTAACATGGTGAAACCCCATCTCTACTAAAAATACAAAAATTAGCCAGGCGTGGTCTGTAATCCAAGCTATTAAGGAGGCTGAGGCAGGAGAATCGCTTGCACCTGGGAGGCGGAGGTTGTGGTGAGCCAAGATCACACCATTGCACTCCAGCCTGGGCAACAAGAGCAAAACTCCATCTTAAAAAAAAAAAAAAAAAAAAAAAAGTGATTTCAGGTTATAATTTCATTGCCATTTACTCTTTCTACAACTTACATACTTCATTTTCTTTTCCAGGCACAACACGGAAAAACCAGAAGCCATTCCTTAATGAGAGGAAAAAGGTAAGATAAGCCATGAAGCAGGTTCACCTTTCTCCATTAACAAAAACAAGTATACAGAACTAAAGCTACTAATCAAAACAGCTCTAGAGCAAAGGAAATCATGTAAAACTTGGTAACCATTGTTTCTGGAGCCTAAGGAAGTAGAGATGTGCATCCCTTAAGGACATCATGAGGTGATTTCATTGTTGTAGGAACATCATGGTGTATCCTCACACAAACCCAGACTGTACATACAGCCTGCTACACACCTAGGCTAGCAGGTATTGTCTGTACTGCCTACTGCTCTGAGGCTATAAACCTGCACCGCGTGTTACTGTACTGAATACTGTAGGTAACTGTAAAACAATGGTAAGTATTTGTGTATCTAAATGTACCTAAACACAGAAAAAGTACAGTTAAAAAATGATATAATCATACAGGGCCACTGTCATGTATCTGGTCTTTCGCTGACCAAAATGTCGTTATGCAGTGCATGACTGTAATTATCATCAATATCTGTTTTTTTAATTCTATTTTGATTTTTCCTTTCCCATGTAACTGTTAATTGCTACAAACTAACATTTTCATTCCATACTTAATTCAGATGGAAGGCAGCAGAAGGACAGGGGCAGTTAGGAGGAAAATTCTGCCAGACATTCATACTAAAACTAAGGGCTTACTATGTGTTAGACACTGGGGCTACAAAAACTGAAAGATGCACTATTCTTAAAGACTTCACAATGGACAGTGAATAAAGAGAAACAAATTTTACTTACAAGATGACAAGTAATACAGAAACTTATCCCTCAAGGACAGGCATTCAACAGTGGCAGAAAACTGCATCAAACAATGCGCTAACATTTCCCTAACACTATTTTCAGGTTGCAGTGATTCCCAACCAGGCTCTTTGGAACACTATAACCACTAAAATGGGAGTGTTCAAACAGAGCAACTACTACCACAACACAAGTGAACTGTGTATCCTGGCAATCCAAAGTAAGTGCAAATATTTTGTGTCTGTGTAAAATACTAGTAAGTATTTGTCAGTCATTATGAAGAATCTGTTTAGCTTGTTTTGTTTAGATGCTTAGCATTTACTTATATCCCTTTTTCTATGTTTATGTTTGCTGATTTCCCCACTGGATAACTATCGGTGGGAAGTAGAGTGAGCCTGCCTTCTATCTTAAAAGCCAAAAAGGCTAAATACCGTCTCAACCTCCCTCGCGCTAGGGGTGCAGGCAGTGACCTAAGTTTAGCCAATCCAAGACACTCACTGAGGACTTTGAATAAAAGCCAGTATCACAAAGAAGAATGGTTGAGAGAATCACTCTCCAGCAACAGTGAGTTTCCCAAGGAGCAGCAGCAGCAGCAGCACCAGGGTCCAGTGTCTATGGTGTTCGTGGTACCTACTGCAGAATCCAATATTATCAGGCGACAGAAGTGATATACACCCCAGATCCCAGCCCCAGCTACTTTTGCAGTGCAATCCTAACTTGGTTCAGCCGATGCCCAGTCAAGTCTTGGCAGACTTTAAAGCAACACTGAGAACTCCCCCAAAACTCTTTCATTAAATTCCTTTTTTGCTTAAATCCCCAGTTACTGCAAACAGGAAAAATGAATGAGACTAATGAAATAGTATGGTAAATCAACAAGCATCCCACCCACAAAGGGTTTGTGTAGCTTATTTTGGAAATGCACAATTCCGTGTGTCACAAGACTCAACTTCAGCTCTAATGATTCAATTGCCAATTTGTCACCATTTATTCATTCCAAAACTTTTCTGTTCCAAGAACTATCTTGAAAGGAACGAATTGTTTTCAACCACACAGTTTACAAAAACTTCAAGATGCTGCTCTCTCCCGAACAGATGTTTTCGCTGTTATCATTACTTCAGAAAGCAACAGACAAAATTATTATTTGGTAGCTCTAAAATGCAAAGTCATATTCCTGAATTATGAATCAAATGAGAACAAAGTAAGAACAATGGTCAAATTACAGATACGAGTTTTGCACTTACCGTCCCACCTCCACCCACCTAAATCTCAGACTGGCAGGTCTGAAAAGCGGCCATGCACAAAATCATCGCACTCATCTCAAAATAGAACTCTTCTTCCTCGCACACAGAAGCTCAATAATATTTGTTGACTGAATGCAGTTCCTATTATTCATGTATGTTACACATTTCCATAAATTGCTTTCACATAGCACTTTACACCGGCACAGCGCGTCCAGGCTTCCAAAACACCTTCACGTGAATCCCTGCATCTAGAATGGTGGTTAAGAGTTAGACATGCCTGCACAGCCATTAAATGGCACAGCACACGGGGGACCCGTGTCTGATGCTCCCACAGCACATTAATTGCCCCTCTATTTCAGCCCTTCTGGTACACTGTAATTCTCTCTCTCACTTGATCAGCTCTTTGAGGAGGTCCCGTTCCTCTTCGTATCCCCAGGCCACACACAACCCAGACCACAGAGGTGCACCGTAGACATCAAGATTCTTCCACCTGCTGCAAGCCTGATGCTTTACCGGCGGGGCCTCTGCAGGGGAGCCTGATTTATACTCATCCCAGCTCCCACCCAGCCCCACGCCCGCCACGTGTGATTTCCACAGCCGCACCAAGGAAGACTGTCCAGCACACAGACTTTTCGTCTCCCAGCAAAATTATCCCCGGCACAACGCTTCCCCCTCAAGTCTGCCCAATGGCTTTCCCATTTCCACCGCAGCCCAGGTTGGGGGGCAGTGGCTGAGCCTGGGCCCCCTCCCAGCCCCGCTGCGGCAACCTAGGGGGGTGTCCGGGCGGGGCCTGTCAGCAGCGACCCGCCCCCGGGCACACGCGCGTCAGGGGCAGCACCGCCAAGCTGCCTGTGCAGCCCCATCCAGCAGGAGTCCCGCGGCTGCCGGCCGCCCGACGCCCCCCCCTCCCCAGCACCCCACACAGCTCGCGACTCAGGTAGGCGAGGGCGCTCCTTACGCACCCGAGAAGGCAGCGGTCGCAGACGACGCCACGACTCCCCTTGCACACCGTGTACGCCAAGGGATCCGAGCGGAAGAGTAGCTCTCCGGGGCGCAGCGGGGTCACGGCGCGCAGCCCGTTTCCCCTCTTGGCGGTTGCGAACTTTTCCACCTTCAGCGGCTCCATCCTCCCGCAGCTCCGGCACCTCAGACGGCTACCCGCGTCCAGCAGCGGGCGTCTCACGGGCTGCCGGGACCCGCGCGCCTGCGCCCTGCGCGCACACGTACGCCCGAGGGGCGGGGCGGGCGCGGTGGGGCAAGAGCATGCGCAGATGGAGTCTGGAGGGACGGCTGGAGTGGAGTGTGTGGGACCTGAAGGTGGTCGTAAGGCTCCGCGTGCGGCTCGTGCCCATGGCGACTGCGCAGAAGACAGGCGGGGTTTTTTTTCTCCCTCTAACATTGTATTACGATCATTTTAACGCATACGGAACAGTTGAAAACAGTGCAGTGAACACCTATATACCTCCGCCTAAATCAGACAACCTAGCACTTTGCCATTTCTGCTCGTCACTCTCTCCCCACCTGTAGCTATGTATACACGTATTGTCGTTAAACTATTTCAAAGTTGCAGGCATCATGACATCACAACTAGTACTTTGCACTGTAACTTTTTTTTGTTTTAGGACGGAGTCTTGCTCTGTCGCCCAGGCTGGAGTGCAGTGGCGAGATCTCGGCTCACTGCAACCTCTGACCTCCGGGTTCAAGCGATTCTCCTGCCTCAGCCTCCATAGTAGCTGGGACTACAGGCATGTGCAATCCTCCCGCCTGGGCCTCCTGACTAGATGGGACTATAGGCTCACGCCACCATGCCTGGCTAATGCTTTTTACTTTCCTCCAGAGACAGTCTACCTATGTCGCCCAGGCTAGTCGCAAACTCCTGGCCTCAAGTGAACCTGAACCTCCTGCCTCGACCTCTCGAATTGCTGGAATTACAGGTGTGAGCCACCACACCCAGCTTAATTTTCTTTTTTGTTTTTGGGGTTTGTTTTGTTTTGTTTTGTTTTTTGAGACGGAGTCTCATTCTCGCCCAGGCTGGAATGCAGTGGTACGATATTGGCTCACTGCAACCTCTGCCTCCCGGGTTCAAGCGATTCTCCTGCCTCAGCCTCTTGAGTAGCTGGGACTACAGGCGCCTGCCACCACGCCCGGCTAATTTTTGTATTTTTAGTAGAGACGAGGTTTCACCGTGTTAGCCAGGATGGTCTCGATCTAACCTTGTGATCCGCCCGCCTCGGCCTCTCAAAGTGCTGGGATTACAGGCGTGAGCCACCGCGCCCAGCCCACCCGGCCTAAATTTCTTAGTTTGGACAAACGTGCCATGGTAATGCAAAATGTCATTATTAAGGGCAGCTGGATGGAAGGTGTAGGAGTACACTATAGTGCCTTTCAATTTTTCTGTGTATCTAAAGTCATTTCAAAAGTAAACATTTATTTTAAAACATGAAGGTGGTTATGCTTCCATGAGTGTAAAGTACAAAAGGCAGGCTCGTGGTGCTGTCAGAAGTCAGAACACTGGTTTCAGGGCTGGGGGTGTTGGGAGGGGCTGGGCATGGTTGGCTTTGTGATCTGGGGGCTGGTGTGTTCCATCTGTGAATATCTTTTAAGCTGTGCACTTACCAGGGATGTAAGTCATATCTTAATAAATTTTCATAAGTTTGACAAAAAATAAAATGAGGATGGGAAGCTTGTTTGGGTTGTGGGGCCTCGGGTGCTTATCCAGCCATGAGCTGTGTCCCAGATGCTTCTAGAAGCCTGGAGGGAGCTGAGAACATTCCAAGTCGAGGTGGCAGAGCCAAGGCCCTGAGGTGGGAGCGCAATGCTGCACATCCCCAGCTGTGAATGGGGTGTCCTGGTCAGAAGCAGTGCTGTGTGCACTGCAGGGCCGGCAAATCCACGTCCACATTGTGGCTTGGTGCAGTGAAAGCCAATCTCAGCCCCCTCCACAGTGTGATTAGCCTGCCAGCAGGTGGCCAGCTGGTCCTCCTGGGAAATGGTGCCAACCCAGAGACTGGGTGCAAGTGTCTCATCCACGGAGGGGCGCTCAGCAGTGGTGTCAGCCTGGTGAGCCTCGGTAAGGGCACGTGCAGGATGCTGAGCCTCTTCCGTTCCCATGCCCGTCTCAAGGCCACTTGCTCCGTGGGCCCATCCAGCAAGCATGGTGGCCAGGAAAGAAGCCGGCTCCATTCACAGGGCGTGCTGTTTTGCTCACCTCAGGACCAAGAGCATCCTCCATAGTGATTCTCTTTGGTGGGAGCACTAGAAACATGAACCACAGATACCTTCAGCGTCTGAGCCGCTGAGGCGAGGGCTGCAGGACACCCTGCTGTCGGGAAACCCTGCACTGGCGGCTGGAAGGCATGTGGTGGTGGCGCCTGCTGTGGCTGCAGCAGTTGCTGCGAGGCTTCGGGATCTCGCCGGCCCCTGCGAGGTGAATTGTGACAGTGCAGAGCTCCGTGGTACCAGGGCCCCCTGCATGGCCATGCTGACTGCAGCTGGGAGCCCACCACACCTCTGGTTCCCCGCTCTTCCCAGGGCTGGGGTCTAGGCCAGGCCCCTCTTGGCCTGCGAATTGTGCCCTGGGAGGGGGACACTGTTCCACAGGTTGGGACCAAGGACCCAGGGCATGCTACTGGCTGGCTGGGCTGCAGGGATGCCATGCTCACCTTTCTCTCTCATGGCCTTGACGGGACCGGCTTCCTCATTGAACAGCATTTTCCAAGGTGTCTGGGATTGCTGGTGGGGTGCCACCCTGGCTCCTTCTAGGCATGCCCGTCATTGGCCACCAAGGGGGCCAGATGCAGGTGCCCATGCTGCTGTGGGGGCATCTCCCAACTTCCCTCTTAGTCCTGATGGGCCTAGGCAGGGCCTGATATGGGGGTCCCCATGGGCTTCCGGGGCTAAGCCTGCCCCATGGTCCCAGGGCTGTCCAGGACACATTCAGAAGGGACATGAGCTCAGCAGCTCTGTTTGAAATTATTATGGAACCAAGGGCCCCCCACATCCAAGTCCACTGGGAGTCGGGACATGGAGTTCCGCTGCAGGTACCTCCAGGAACCCCGAGGTCCTCCTTGAGCCAAGGCCAGGCTGGGCACACCATAAGTCCTGGGTCCCCCAGAGAATGGCCTGCTGCCCTGGGCTCCCCAGAAGCCCCCTCACGCCCCTGGGCCTTGGCCACATGGAAGCCCCACCAGGACAGGTGTGAGAGGACAAGGAACCCATGGTGGGGAAGCAGACCAAATGGGCCGCTGGAACCAGGCTGGTGGGCCAGGGGGCACCTGCCCATCCCCCTTGCAGAGGGCCTTCCTGCCACGTGAAGCCAGCACAGCCCTGGCTGCTGAGGACCCTTGCCTGGGTTTGGCTGAAAGAAAAACAGACGTGATCAGGCAGCACCTCCAGTGGGCCCAAAGAGTCCTTTCTGGGCCGGGCCCCACCTGCCTGGGTCTCCGGAGTCCTCAGGGTCTCTCGGTGGCCCCTGGGGTCTGACACTGAGGACACACCTGCAGGCTGCTGATCCCAGAGGGAGGGGTGTGTGTCACCTGGGGTAGGGAAGCTGTCGGGGCACAGCAGGTGGCTCCTGGGACTGCCCCCCAGGATTCAGGCTGGCTGGGGGCTTCCTGCCCCATGCCCTCATCCCAGGGCTGTTGGGCCTGGTATATGATCCCCAGTCAGAACTCAGGTGGGAGGGGCCTTGGCTGTCACCCAGCCCCCTTGCTACCTCACTTGGGGACCTGTCTCTACCATGAGTAAGAGGGCCCAGATACGGGGCCCCCTCTGCCCTCCTGGGCTGCCCGGTCCATGCCAGGACTGACCATTCCCACACCTGGCTGAACTCTTGGCTCTGGCTCTGGGCCAGGGGTCCCACCTGTGCCCTTGCCCTGAAAGCTCTGGGGGTCAGGGACACCGACTCCCTTGTCTCCCTGGCTCAAGGCTCGTTGTCCTGGCACCCTTGGAGGGATGTTCAGGAGTGAGGGGCCTCTGCTGCTCTCTGAGGCTGTCAGTGCTTGCAGGGAGGGGTGGGGGGGGTCCCACAAATGGGTCTGGCTCCTCCAGTGCCGTCAAGGGCCCTGTTGGGGGGGGGCGGGACACCGTGGAAAGTGGGAGGGGGCTTGTTGGAGAGGTCTTGCCCACATCCCCCTCCTGCGTGCACAGCATGTGCAGTGCACATGCACTGAGCACCTGCCCTGAGGACCGGGGGCCTATTGTCTTTCTTAGAGTCCAGGAGGAAAAGGAGGAAGAAAAGGCACAAGAGGAAGGCCCAGGTAGTAGGCTTGGGGGTCCCGGGCGCTCCCCCACTATTGACTGCCCCAGAGGGTGACTCAGGAGGGGGCCTGGTATGGAAGCCCATCTGGGGGTGGCAGGTCCCCATTCTTCCTTGTTAGCTTCCTCGTAGAGGCCCAAGGGTGCCCGAGAGCTGCGTCTTCATCCAGGGCCTAGGTATGGGAGAACCAGCCCCCAAAACTGCCCATGGGCCAGACCTGGATGTCTTCATGAGGCCCTCTAGGGATAGGGTGGGCATCAGGCCAGGAGAGTTCCCTGGGAGGGTCAGAGCCCATACCTCATTGCCACCTCAACCGTCTCCCACTGGGAGGTGCCAGATCCTTTTGTGGCCACCCCAGGGGTCCAGATGTGCATAGGAGGCTGTGGCTGGGGGTGGCCTGGGCAGGGAAGTGCTCACCACACTCCAGACTTTCATCTGGAACATGTCGGGGGTGGGCTTGGTGTCACTGTGCCCTGCCCAGCCCACCCAGCCAGACCTCCCCCTGGGCCAGAGCAGAGGATCATGGGGACAGTGTGAGGAAGCTGCCCTCAGGCCAGTCCGAGTCTGACCCCAGTGCTCCCCAGTGCCATTGGGCACACGTGGACTTACTCCATTAAACCTTAAAGGCAGTGCATGCCATCGGCATCAACACCTGTTCCCCTTCTACCAAATACACATCCCACAGGTGCAGGTTGAGCCTGAGAGAGATCTATGGGGACAGCAGACACTGGAGGACCTGGCCCTTCAAGGCTGGGGGCTGGTGGCTCGAGCTGGGCCCACTGGGACTTCAGTCCCCAGAGTCAGTGACCCTCCCCATGAGGGTCATCTGACCCTTCCAGGAGGCTGGGTCAGACAGGGTCTTGCAGCTCCTCATGAGGGGCACTCATTTCAGTGGGATATGGCTTCTGGAGAGAGGGACCTCCCCAGGGCTTGAGGCTTCTGAGCTCTCCCAAGTTGGGTTCTGCCCCAGTCTTCCCATGAGGCTGGGCCTGAGCCCCAACCTCTGCCGTGGGATGACCCTTCTTGGGCACGGGGCCTTGCTTGTGTGTCCTACAGGGCCCCGTCTGTGCCTCCTGTGGGCTGGGGGTGAGCCGGACCCCTGGGCACGGGGAGCAGGGCACTGCAGGGCAAAGAGGGTCCCTGAGCCAGGGTCTCCCTGGGCCTCCTTGCCCCATCCATCAAGCTCTGGAGCAGCCAGCCTAATGAGGAACCCTGCGCACATGGCCCTTCCTTGTCGTGATGGGAGGAACAGAAGTGCTCAGGGCCCCCTGGGCTACTCTAAAAACCAAACCTCCCTCTTCCAGGGTCCTCTGAAGACCCTTCCCCAAGTGCAGAACACAGGATGGTGTCCAGGGCTCCACACGACACCTTCCCCTTCCCGCACTCCCAGCGGACACACTGCCCTTAGCCTTGCTCTGCAGGAGGTGGGCCCCAGTGCCTGTGCCTCTGTCTCCTCCAGGGCGGGAAAGGAAACCCAACTCCAAACGCATGGAGAACCCCACATCCCAGGTCAGGCCCTGGCTGGGACTCAGCCTCTCATCAGTCCCATGGGGGTCTCTAGCCAGCCCTACGGGATGCAGGGCCTCTGGGAAAGAGCCGAGGGGACCATAAACACACAGGGTGCCTCGTGGTCTTGGGTTATGACGTGGGTACCACGTGTTCCTGGTGGTCTTGTAGCCCCTGGACCCTTGTGCTATTTGGGCTGTAGAATCCTGAGACGCCCCCAGCCCATCATGAAACCAGAGCCAGCTCCCAAGATGTGGAGCTGTCAGCTGGAAGAACTGGGCAGCTGCAGAGGCCCCCGAACCCCGAGGCCTCCCACCCTCCCATCTGTGACCCCACCATGTGGCCTTGGCCCTGGGGAGAAGGGGTGGGAACATCCCCTGGAGCCTGGCTGGAGGTGCTCCGGGAGGCCTCCTGGGCCAGGGTGCCGGGAGGGCAGGCCTGACTTTGAGGCCACAACAGAGAGTAGAAAGAACAAGGTGGGTGCTGGGACCCCTGGTTGTCTCTTGGAAGTGGGGTCAGGCCAGGGGACATGGGATGGGGAGGTGCTGCCATCTGGGCTTTGTCAGCCCACCTGTGGGAACCAAGGGCAGCTGAAGCCCAGCCAGCTGGAGGCCAGGAGGACTCTCAGGGAGGGGAGAGTCAGCTGCATAGAATTCGAGCTGGAGAGCGTGGCTCCAGGACATAGAGGGCGGCCACGGCGAGGATGAGATGCCCTCTGCTGATGGGGATGAAAGGCATCTGACTCAGGGTCTGGGGGTCCCCATTCATCCATGGTCTCCTGTGGGACCTTCAGCAGAGACATCCTAAAGGCTCCCAACAAGCTGGTGACACAAGGAAGGTACCTTTGCTGAAAGTCGAGATCATCTGGCTAGGGTGGCTGTCCCCGGGTCTGGCTGCATGAGGTCGGGGGGCAGCTGTTCACCTACCCTGTGGGGAGTGCCTCTCACAAGCCAACAGCTGGGCCAGTGCCCAGAATGCATCCTCCCCAGGCCCATAAAGGAGAAACAAGGCAGCAGCGTGGCTCAGGTCCCTGCGGTAGCCCACCTCCTGCAAGATCCAGAGTCACCATGGAAGGACATCTCCTGGAGGGCTGAGGTCACCTGGGAGGACTCATGTCATCGGAGAGGGCAGAGGTGACTGGGGAGGCTTCCTCTGAAGAAGAGGCTTCCTCAGGATGCAAATTTATTTTCTGACAAGAGCCATGTCCATCAGGCACTTCAGCAACTTGTCCAAAATGTTTCCTGAGAGCACTGTCCTGCATGTGACACTACCAAGCTCCTGGGCTTTGGGGCAGCCCCAGGAGGAGGGTGTCATTTCTTGTTATGAAAAGTGGTGGTCAGGCCCAGGTGACACTAGTAGTTGGGGCCCTGACTTCTTTGTCTCAGTTTGACCCCTTGAGACCACCTCCCTTGCTTGGAGATTTATGCCAACGGTGAGCTGGAGTCCTATCTACTATATCCTGATGGGTCACAAATACTGACTTTGAAAGAAACAACGATGCCCCTACCAGACACCCACGCCCACGAACGTGGGAATATGGCCCAGAAACGTCACTGCCTGGGAATACTCATGGGGTTATATGCCAAATATACCAGGAAGATGTAGAATAATTCCTGCTGCCTAGGAAAGAGATAAAAGGGGCTTTCGTTTGTTTTGTGCAGACGCTTTTAGTTTCACTTTGCCTACAAACCCTAACAACAAATCCAGTTTCAGGTTCAGATGATTCACCAGATAAGTCACAAGCTCTTCAGGACCTTGGTTGTTTAAGAAATGTTTCAGGCCAGGCGCGGTGGCTCACACCTGTAATCCCAGCACTTTGGGAGGCCAAGGCAGGTGGATCACGAGGTCAGGAGATCGAGACCATGGTGAAACCCCGTCTCTACTAAAAATACAAAAAATTAGCCAGGTGCAGTGGTGGGCGCCTGTAGTCCCAGCTACACAGGAGGCTGAGGCAGGAGAATGGTGTGAACCTGGGAGGTGGAGCTTATAGTGAGCCAAGATCGTGCCACTGCACTCCAGCCTGGGTGACAGAGGAAGACTCCATCTCAAAACAAAACAAAAAAAAAAAGTTTCAGTAAAATCCACATCTGTGAAATGCAGATATCCCAGTTGTATAGTGAGTTGACTGATCACACTCTGATTTTTATTTTTTCAGTTTGCACACCCACCAGTTCAGTCTTTGGGGTGTACAGTACCTCCATGGTTCTAAACCAATGTGCAGAGTCTCCTGGTCACCACTCCAGCCCCTCCTGGAGCGATTCCTTCATCCTCCAAGTCTCCAGGGTGTCCCCTATGTAGCCAACCTCTTCCCGGTCCATCAGCCCTTGGCCATCCCAACGTGTTTTCTGTCCCTGTGATTTGGCCTTTTCCAGAATGGCCTATTAATTGGAACCCTACAGAGGTAGCTTGTTGGGTCTGGTTTCTTTCCCTTAGCAAAATGCAACTAAGATCCACTGACGTTCATGTGGGCATCACTGGCTCATTCACTTTTCTCACTGAGTCTTTTTTCCTTTGAAGGGAGGGCCACCCATCCTCTCCCCATTCCCATGTTGAAGGTTGTCCCCATGGCCTCTGTGTGTGAGTGACGATGAATCAAGCAGTGAATGTGGCATGCATGTTTCATGTGTGTTAAGTAAAATGTTTATTTAGAAACAGAATGCTTGATCCTTAGTACCACAAAGAAACATCAGCATTTAGACAAAAAGTTTTCTCAGCAAGGCAATTTTACCTTCTGCAGAAAGGGTGCTCCTCACAGATGGAACAATGGTGAGAGCACACCTGAATAAAAGAGGGAAGCAATTTTTATCCTTTATGCAGCTTGTCCCTGCTACTGTGTCCTGTCTCCATTGGCTGGAGCTGGGCCATACAATCTAAACTAAATCTGACTGGCTAATAATTTAAAATGTCTCTAAATAGCTGAAAGCAATGGAGAACAAAGGAAAAGAGGAAGCTGCTTATGAAAAGACTTAGAAAAGTAATAACATTCCCAAATAAGGAAGGGGCACAGGCTTCAAGCTGGGACCTGCCTGTGAGCACGTCCAGCACAGATAACCCTGATTGAAGTACGAGGACATAGAATGTACTTATTCCTTTATATCTAACAGCTGTGTAGAATAGGGCTTAACAAAGAGTTATTAGCACAAAGCAAGGAGGCTTGAAGGAAATTAGTCTTTAAAGGAAACTGTTATTTCTAACACTTATGATTTATTCTTTAACAAGAAGGGAAACTTTGAAAAGGAACTTTTTACTTTCTACAGTGTGGATGTCAGTTTTCAAATCAGTTGGTTCAATGTCTGTGACACTTCGGGGATGTGTGGTTTGAGTCCACTGAGCTTTGCGAGCGACTGCCCAACTGGCTTCCAAAGTGGCTGTGTCATGTCACATTTCCACCAGCTGTGGATGAGAGTCTCCGGGGCCCCGAATGCCCCCGCCCCCAGCATTGGGTGCTGTCGGTGTCGCCAGAGGAGTCTCCGGGGCCCCAGGTCCCCCCCCCCCCCAGCATTGGGTGCTGTCGGTGTTGCCAGAGGAGGTTCACCAGCCCTCCATCCTGCTGCCCCCCACCCATGGGTCCATACCATGGGTCCCATGGGTCAGGGAGAGCACTTTTCACCATTGTGCATGATTTTGTTTGCTGCCTTCTGTCTCCTCAGGATCCTTCTGGGTTCTGGCCCCACATGTTCTAGCCTGGCCCAGAGCTTGGAACCTGGGAGGTCCTCAGTGCATGGTACGGGCTCCTCCCTGGGC
This sequence comes from Homo sapiens, assembly GCF_000001405.40. Classification (NCBI taxonomy): domain Eukaryota; kingdom Metazoa; phylum Chordata; class Mammalia; order Primates; family Hominidae; genus Homo; species Homo sapiens. The sequence continues at coordinate 246,516,599 of NC_000001.11, forward strand.
CAGGAGAGCCCTTGGCAGCTCCGTCATCCCTCCTGGGTGAAGCTGGTTTTTGCTCTGGGGAAGTCTCCATCCCTCTGGTTCACTTCATCTCTGCTGGGACCCTGTGGCCCCCATAGGCTTACCTGATGCCATATCATTTCCTAAATATTATGTGATTCCTCAGTGTCCGGCTCACCTCCAGGTCAATCTGGTGGATAGGTTCAGAGGACCTCTTGCCCTTTTCTTTCATGACCTGTAGGGCATGGCCAGGAGGAGGAAGCAGCCTCAGAACAGATGGAAGGACCCCTGCCCCAGATGGCAGTCAGCCCACAGTCAGCACTCGTGGAAGGAGGGAAAAAAGGAAGGTTTCCTTCTGCAGAAAGCTGCTTTTTGGCTTGTTTCTGAAGCCAGGGAGGGTCACCAGAGCTGAGCTCATTTGGGGTGCCTATGTCACCGTCTGCCCAGGATATGCTTCTGACCACCCCAGCCCCACCGATAAGCTGGGCTCGATGTTCCCTCCATCTGGAGACCTGGGCTCCTGACACAGCCTGGCCTGTTTGTTGTGCTCTGGCTGAGTATACCTCATATTTCCCAGGGTTCTCAGGCTTGGTTTCCTCAATGTTTAGCAGGACTGACCACACCCAGCCCCAGACCTTCAGGAGAATGCCTTTGTACACTCTGGCAGACAACTGATCTGGTGACACAGGCCACAGGGTGACCTCAGCAAGGACCAGACCCCAAGGATTCTGGAAGTCTCTGGTTTTGGCCCCATGATTCCTCAATACAGGTGAGGTCAAGCTGGGACAGGGTCTCTCCTCCCAGGGCTGAAAGAGTGGGTCAGCACTCAGAGTCTGAACTCTGATCTACACCTGTTCCTTCACCAGGAGGCTTCCCTAGCCCTGATCTACGGTGGCCCCAGCCCTGGCATCAGATTCCCTCCCAGCAAGGTGACGAGCGCACGAATGGGCAGCAAAGCTGGCGACCAGGCCTGCTGTCGTCTGAGTAAGGACAGGGTGCTACCCGCTCTCTAAGAGGCAGATGGTGCCAGCCCACAGCCAAGGGTGCCTGTCCCCCTGACTCTGCAGACAGTGGTTCTGCAGGCCTCTCCCTCCCCACATTACCTTCTTGCTCATCCTATATTTCTGCCATTCTCCCAGCATCTTCAGCCACTTTTCCATGTGTCTCATGTCCTGTCACATTTGCTGTCAAATGAGGAATGTTGGAGTTAGTGGAGCCGCCATGCTTCCCGGAGTGGCCCACGGATGCTGGGTCCTGGGTTCTGGAGCTCTAGTGGGACCCAGCTGGAAGGAGCTAGGGAAGGGCAGACCCTGGGGGCTGAGACCCTCTGAGCAAATGAGCGCCAGTGGGCTGGCCTTGTGACCCTGGGACGTGCCATCCTCAGGCCACAGACACACCAGTCTTAGGTCGGGTCACAGCCTCTAGGTGGTATCCTGACACAAGCGGGCAGCCACCCCCAAGCCACGACTGTTGTTCTCACTTTGAAATTTCGGCAAACTGCCAGAGAAACAGAGACTTGGGGTCAGGTCCAGCAGGGACAGCTGCCCCTCCCAGTGACAGTATGTTGCTCCCTCCCACCCACCACCACCCAGGCCCGCTGCCTCCTCTGCCTCACCGAACACCCACTGAGTCCCCATCCCTGGACCAGCTCCCCAAGCATCAGGGACAGGCTCTTACCTTCACCTCCAGGGCATTGACAGGGGGCAACTCTGTCTCACTGGAAGGCACCTGACAGAGCTGAGGACCTGCGCAGGGCCTGGAGCCATCCCGGTCCAGGAGTCCACCCCCAGAAAGGACTGGCTCTGTCCCCTTCCATCCCAGGTCTCAGCTCGGGAGAAGCCACAGGGAAGGGAGGACAAGGGCCCTGTGGGGCAGACTCCCAGGAGGGGCCCCTGGTGTGGGGGATGGTCAGGCTGCACAATGGGGCTGCCCCTCCTGGACTGGAGGTGGTGTTTTCTGCTGGAGCTCAGAAACGTCAGCTCTGAGATGGGACTGCTGCTGCCCAGGGTGGGTGGCCACGCCCGGACGGGAGTCTCTCAGGGAGTGACCGCATCACCCTGCTGGGGTTTGGGTGCCTGGCCTGAGACCTGCCTGGTGCACCCGGGGCCCATCCCACCTGACACTCCCAAGGTCCTCGCAGAGTCTGACCACCTGGAGCCCACCTGCCTCTCCCTGCACCTGAGCCACACACCCTGCTTTTTCCCTGATTTCCGCCATCCTGTCCAACCCAAAAACTGTGAACGTCTCTCCAGCCACCCTGGGTCTGCTTTGACTCTGGTCCTGTCAGAACCCCTGAGTGAGACTCCCCGGATCTGTTCTCATGCCTGCCTTGCCTGCTCGAGAGATGCCAGGGGTGGCCTGGGTGACCGAGGGCCCCACAGGCTTCCAGGACAGCCTCCTGGCCCCACCTCCTGCCTCACCTGGCTTTCGGAGCCATTGGCTGTCAGCCCTCAGCCTCCTCCCAGACACTGCAGCAGATGGAACTCGGGACACCTGGCCGTTCTCCCCAACTATCCTGCCTGCCCCAGGTCAGTCCCCCGATCACCCTCTGCCCACTGTGCTGTCCAAGCCAACTGGAAGCAGAGTCCCTGGAAAGCCACGTAGAATCTTGGGGATGGACTGACTCCCTCTGCTGAGAAGTCCCAGGTGAGCTGGTGTTTTCAGCCCCACCCCATCTATTGTCCTCCCCAGACAATCAGCTCCATTGGGGTGCATTTCCGACGTGGCACAGCCCATGGGCTTATTCCCATCCCACCTCCCCCAGGGTCCTCTGTCTTTCCATCCTGTGACCCCTGAGGGATTGGCTCCAGGCTGGGCTCTCTTATCTGGCCCCAGATACCGTCCCAGTACCAGACCCAGGGCCTTTAGCCACAAGCTCTGCTGCCCGCCTGGCCAGAATGCCTAGAATGGGGGACCCTGCCCATCTTCTCCCCCATTCCCCTAGGCCCACAGCCCTCACTGTCCCCATGGGGAAGGGCATGGTCCTTGGGGGAACCATGGCATGGTCCATGCGGAAGGGCATGGGGACAGTGAGGGCTTTGGCCCTAGGGGAATGGGGAGAAGAAGGGCAGGTGGGCCCCTCAGAGACCTGCTGGACAGCTGCCCCAAGGCTGGACCAGGTGCCCCCTCACCCTGTGGCCACAACCCTTGGATCTCACTAGGATAGTGTCCAAGTGGACAGGGCCAGACCCTCAAGCTGCCTGCCTCCTCTTCTGCTAACTTGGAGACAGAACTGCTGAGAGCCCAGGGGCCTGACCTAGTCCCCTCTCCATTCCCACCTGCTCCCTAGATGAGCAACACTCCCTAGATGAACCACACTCCCTAGATGGGCCACGCTCCCTAGATGGGCCACGCTCCCTAGATTAACCACATTCCCTAGATGAGCCACACTCCCTAGATGAACCACATTCCCTAGATGGGCCACGCTCCCTAGATGAACCACACTCCCTAGATGGGCCACGCTCCTTAGATGAACCACACTCCCTAGATGAGCCACGCTCCCTAGATGAACCACATTCCCTAGATGGGCCACGCTCCCTAGATGGGCCATGCTCCCTAGATGAACCACGTTCCCTAGATGGGCCACGCTCCCTAGATGAACCATGCTCCCTAGATGAGCCACGCTCCCTAGATGGGCCATGCTCCCTAGATTAACCACATTCCCTAGATGAGCCACACTCCCTAGATGAACCACGCTCCCTAGATGGGCCACGCTCCCTAGATGAAACACGCTCCCTAGATGGGCCACGCTCCCTAGATGGGCCACGCTCCCTAGATGAACCACGCTCCCTAGATGAGCCACGCTCCCTAGATGGGCCATGCTCCCTAGATGGGCCACGCTCCCTAGATGGGCCATGCTCCCTAGATGGGCCATGCTCCCTAGATGAACCACGCGCCCTAGATGAGCCACCCTCCCTAGATGGGCCACGCTCCCTAGATGAACCACATTCCCTAGATGGGCCACGCTCCCTAGATGAACCACACTCCCTAGATGGGCCACGCTCCCTAGATGAACCACGCTCCCTAGATGGGCCACGCTCCCTAGATGGGCCACGCTCCCTAGATGAACCACGCTCCCTAGATGGGCCACGCTCCCTAGATGAACCACATTCCCTAGATGGGCCACACTCCCTAGATGAACCACACTCCCTAGATGGGCCACGCTCCCTAGATGGGCCACGCTCCCTAGCTGAACCATGCTCCCTTGATGGGCCACGCTCCCTAGCTGAACCACGCTCCCTAGATGGGCCACGCTCCCTAGATGAACCACGCTCCCTAGATGGGCCACGCTCCCTAGATGAACCACGCTCCCTAGATGGGCCACGCTCCCTAGATGAACCACGCTCCCTAGATGGGCCACGCTCCCTAGATGAACCACATTCCCTAGATGGGCCACGCTCCCTAGATGAACCACGCTCCCTAGATGAACCACGCTCCCTAGATGAGCCACACTCCCTAGATGGGCCACACTCCCTAGATTAACCACATTCCCTAGATGGGCCATGCTCCCTAGATGAACCATGCTCCCTAGATGGGCCACGCTCCCTAGATGAACCACGCTCCCTAGATGGGCCACGCTCCCTAGATGGGCCACGCTCCCTAGATGAACCACTCTCCCTAGATGAGCCACGCTCCCTAGATGGGCCACACTCCCCAGATGGGCCACACTCCTTAGATGAACCACACTGCCTAGATGAGCCACGCTCCCTAGATGAGCCACGCTCCCTAGATGAACCACGCTCCCTAGATGGGCCACGCTCCCTAGATGGGCCACGCTCCCTAGATGAACCACTCTCCCTAGATGAGCCACGCTCCCTAGATGGGCCACGCTCCCTAGATGAACCACTCTCCCTAGATGAGCCACGCTCCCTAGATGAACCACACTGCCTAGATGAGCCACGCTCCCTAGATGAGCCACGCTCCCTAGATGAACCACGCTCCCTAGATGGGCCACGCTCCCTAGATGGGCCACGCTCCCTAGATGAACCACTCTCCCTAGATGAGCCACGCTCCCTAGATGGGCCACGCTCCCTAGATGAACCACACTGCCTAGATGAGCCACGCTCCCTAGATGAGCCACACTCCCTAGATGAACCACGCTCCCTAGATGAGCCACGCTACCTAGATGAACCACATTCCCTAGATGGGCCACGCTCCCTAGATGGGCCATGCTCCCTAGATGAACCACGCTCCCTAGATGGGCCACGCTCCCTAGATGAACCACGCTCCCTAGATGGGCCACGCTCCCTAGATGGGCCATGCTCCCTAGATGAACCACGCTCCCTAGATGAGCCACACTCCCTAGATGGGCCACGCTCCCTAGATTAACCACATTCCCTAGATGGGCCACGCTCCCTAGATGAACCATGCTCCCTAGATGGGCCACGCTCCCTAGATGGGCCACGCTCCCTAGATGAACCACGCTCCCTAGATGGGCCACGCTCCCTAGATGAACCACGCTCCCTAGATCAACCACGCTCCCTAGATGAGCCACGCACCTCTGGCCTAACAACAATCACAGGCTGGACCTGCAGGGGAGCCCGGGAGGAGTTCTACCCTAGAAAAGAGGTAGGCCCAAGCCAAGGAGACACATCCTGCCTCAGAAAGACCTTTCTAAAAGCGAAACCCATCCCTGAGCTGAGATTTGTGCTTTAGAGGGTGAGAGGAGCACAGAGAACTCACTGCAGAATCCCAAGGCAATCAGAGATCTTGTAGATGTTAACATGCCCAGGCTATATGTCCGCTGGCAGCCCAGTTCCACATCCCTGAAACCCAGAGGGAGCCAGGGTGAGGCATCCAAGGTAAAAGGTGCAAGGGCCTGGGGGTGTTGTCAACTTGTCACCACCTGTGCTCCTGGGGAGCCCAGGACCCTTTGAGCAGGGCGCACTGGGAGAGGCCTCCGTCCAGGGAGCAGACTGACTGTACCTGCTCATACTTGGTAATGATGTCCCCTCATTCCTGTGCCAGCAGGGTATCCACATTCTCTCCCATGTCCATCCCATGAGACAAATCGTCCAAAGGTGACACTGTACCCGAGAGCTTCGGAGAACACCTGAGCCACTCCTGCCGGGCTCCCAGATGCTGGCGGTGTGTGACCCCCATTCCATCACCACCTCCAGGTGAAAAGGGGCCAGACACAGTGGCCCACACCTGCACGGGTCTCTGGAGTCTCAGGCCCCAAGCAGGAGTGCCTCCTTCCTAAGGACTTGAGAATAGTGGGACCTGGACAGAGAATCCCGTTGTCCCCAAATGCCATGAAATGGGAACATATCTATCCCAACAGAATGAAAGGTGTCCACCTGCCGGGGGTGAAGAGCCTGTGATTCCAGAGATGAGGAGGCAGACTGGGGTCAGGGACCAGAGGTCTCTGTATGATCAGCCTCTTGGGATCGCTCAGAAACCACAAAGTTGCCCAGTTTTCTATGGACAACAAGATATCTCCTGACTTCCCAATTCTACTCCACTCATCACTTGGGCTACCATGGCCCTTCAGTCTGACCAGTGAAGCCGCTTTAGGAATCATGCCAGTTGAGCAGGAAGGTGTTTGCTTTGGGGGAAGAAAATGATCTATTGTCTCCAAAGCAGCCTCTGTGCTGGTGGAAACCATGACGCTGGGGGAGGGACGGTGGACTCCACAATTCTGAGCTATCCATACAGGGTGTGGGGGGCTTCATTTTCCCGGGTCACTGAGAAAGAACAGGAGAACTCTGGGTTCTTGGTCCTGGAGAACACCGAGATGAACGATTCCTCCTGGGACCACTCGGGGCAAAAGGGAGGCGAGGCCTCTGGAGGACCAAACTGAGAAAGAAATACTTGAAGAGAATGCCAGTGCCTGTACCCCTTTGAACAGGAGGGAAGATAGTCTCCATCCAGGCAGCCCTCCAGGGCTCCTTCATTTTCCACAACTGCCCAAAGGCAGAAGGCTCCCCATCCACTCCCAGACAGGGAACTGTGTGTGTCCAGTGGGTCCCACAGAGACCATCAGGACCCAGCTTAGGGCACAGAGGTATTCTGAGGCCCCTCCCCTCCACCCCACCCACAGTGGATCCATCCCAGCAGCTCTGCCAGGGCCAAGCTCTGCCCCATTGGGATCTGGAACCCTGGACACATTTGGGATTTAGGGCAGGGAGGTCACAGGGTTCAGGACTTAAGTCCAGCACGGCACAGGGCAGGGGTGAGAGCACAACCCAGGGTCACATCTGGATTCTTGGGGTTACCCAGTTACCGCCTCTCTGACCCCAGATGTCTCACCTGTCTAATGGGCACATTTGGGAGCAGCACCCACCCTATGGAGCCACCATGAGGACGAAGGAAACATATCATTAAAAGATCAGAAATACAAAAAGAGATACCATTAAGAGTTCCTACAGATACTGAAACGGTCATTAGGTAATAGTATTAACATTTTTATTCTGATATTCAACAGCAGCAGTCACTTCCCTCCACCCATATGTGTATCGTCTGCCTGGGCAGCACAGAACAGGCACCTGGTGAGTGCCCAGGGATGACCCTCCTCGGCAGCTGCCCAGAGGCCAGCACTACCCACCCCATAGCCACTGTCCCCAAGTCAGCATGAAGGGAAGGGAGAATGTCACACTCACCTGATTCTGATGAATTGGCTGGGCTGAGTTATGCCTCTCATGTAGCAAACTCTCATGAACACAGAACTGCTCACAGATAGCACTGTGCGTGTGCAACTGCTCTGGAACACAGAGGCAGGCTGGAGGGCGAGCGGGTGCTCAGCACCAGTGACATTCTGAGGTCATGGCACACATCACAGTGGGGCCTTGCCTGGGTCATCAGAGCCCAGAGTCAGCGTCCTCCACTGCCTGAGGCGTCAACATGCCTGCATGCAATGTGTGCACTTGTGTGCACATGTGTATGTGGGTAAACACATCTGTGCACCTGTGTGTTGCTTCTCTGGCCAGGCCTGGCTGCCCCACTCATGTCTGCACCCAGTTCCTCATCACTGTTACCCCCGAGGCCCAGGACCAGCATCAGAGCATCCATGGGTGCTCCCTAACTTCAGCCCTCCCCAACCAGGGTGGTCCTGGGATACACATAGGGGTGGAGGGAAGTTACTGTTGCTGTTGAATATCAGAATAAAAATGTTAATACTATTACCTAATAACCTTTCAGTATCTGTAGGAACTCTTAATGGTATCCCTTTTTGTATTTCTGATATTTTAATGATATGTTTCTCTCCATGACCCTTGGTTATTCTAGGTAGAGGGTCCTGTGGGGAAAGTGCCTGGCACCCTGTAGGGGCTCACTCTTCTAGAAATGTGATCTGAAATCTGGCTCACCTGTCCTTCCACCCAGGGCCTAGGGGATGCCGAGTTCCGGAGACCAGAAAGAGCTTGGGATAAAAAGAAGGTTTAAGGGGAAGGCTTTGACCTGGGCTGGGTTTGCCTGCGCCATCCAAACCTGCAGGCTCGAGTCCTGAGACACAGGGGGTCCAGATGTCCCAATGCAGGGCCCTCCTCATTAACACCTGCTCCCCTGTACTCATTAGTAACCTCACCCATCCTACCCTCAAAGCACAGTTGGCCCTGGTATCCGTGGGCTCTGCATGTGTGGATTCAGCCAACAGTGGGTGGAAAATATTCAGAAAAGGGAGTGTGGATGGCTATGTCTCTGCTGAACATGTACAGACTTTTTTCCTGTCACCATTCCCTAAACAATACAGTATAACAACCCAATGACAGCCCTAGCAAGTAGAGACAATGAAAAAGACCGGCTCATGTCTAAAACACCAAAAGCAATGGCAACAAAAGCCAAAATTGACAAATGGGATCTAATTAAACTAAAGAGCTTCTGCACAGCAAAAGAAACTACCATCAGAGTGAACAGGCAACCTACAGAATGGGAGAAAATTTTTGCAACCTACTCATCTGACAAAGGGCTAATATCCAGAATCTACAATGAACTCAAACAAATTTACAAGAAAAAAACAAACAACCCCATCAAAAAGTGGGCAAAGGATATGAACAGACACTTCTCAAAAGAAGACATTTATGCAGCCAAAACACACATGAGAAAATGCTCACAATCACTGGCCATCAGAGAAATGCAAATCAAAACCACAATGAGATACCATCTCACACCAGTTAGAATGGCAATCATTAAAAAGTCAGGAAACAACAGGTGCTGGAGAGGATGTGGAGAAATAGGAACACTTTTACACTGTTGGTGGGACTGTAAACTAGTTCACCCATTGTGGAAGACAGTTTGGCCATTCCTCAGGGATCTAGAACTAGAAATATCATTTGACCCAGCCATCCCATTACTGGGTATATACCCAAAGGATTATAAATCGTGCTGCTATAAAGACACATGCACACGTATGTTTATTGTGGCACTATTCACAATAGCAAAGACTTGGAACCAACCCAAATGTCCAACAATGATAGACTGGATTAAGAAAATATGGCACATATATACCATGGAATACTATACAGCCATAAAAATGATGAGTTCTTGTCCTTTGTAGGGACATGGATGAAGCTGGAAACCATCATTCTCAGCAAACTATCACAAGGACAAAAACCAAACACCGCATGTTCTCACTCATAGGTGGGAATTGAACAATGAGAACACTTGGACACAGGAAGGGGAACATCACACACCGGGGACTGTGGTGGGGTGGGGGGCGGGGGGAGGGATAGCATTAGGAGATATACCTAATGTAAATGACGAGTTAATGGGTGCAGCACACCAACATGGCACATGTATACATATGTAACAAACCTGCACGTTGTGCACATGTACCCTAAAACTTAAAGTATAATAATAAAAAAAAGAAGAAAAAGAAAAAGAAACAGACCTGCTCACATTGTCCAGCTTTGAAGTCTTGGAAGAAGTTGCCACCAGGATGCAGGTAGGGGTCAATCTCCTCCAGGATCCAGAGAGCATATCAGCCAGCTTCAGGGTCAGGAAAGGAGCCTGACAGGTCTGCAGTAGGACGGGGCTGGGGCTGGCCGTGTGGATCACGTGGGCCTAATGAGGGGGAAAGTAAGACCATGGGGCAAAGGAGGGAGCATGGGGGCAGCTGGTGGCCTAAGCAGAAGGAACTTCAGAGAAGGGGTCTGCATTAGTTCATTTTCACACTGCTATAAAGAAATACCAGAGACTAGGTTATTTATAAAGGAAAGCAGCTAAATTGACTCGCAGTTCAGGAAACTTCCAATCATGGCGGAAGGCGAAGGGGAAGCAGGCACCTTCTTCACAAGGCGGCAGGAGGGAGTGAGTGGAGAATGAGGAAGCTCCACATTTTAAAACCATCAGCTCTCCTGAGAACTCACTCACTATCAGGAGAACAGCATGGGAGAAACTGCCCCCAAATCCAATCCCCTCCCACCAGGTTCCTCCCTTGACACATGAGGATTACAGCTCAAGATGAGATTTGGGTGGGGACACAGAGTCAAACCTATCAGAGGCTCACTCTGTCTCGTGGCTCCCCCAGGGCTCAGGCTGAGTGCAGATCTGATCTGCTGGCCCTGCTCTACAGCACGCTGGGGCTCTGCCTGTGCATCCCCATCTGTGGCTTCCCGGCGTGGCGGCCTGTTCCCTCAAAAGGAGGGTGGCTCTGCTCTCCTGCCAGCCCCCTGCAGGGCACGATGGAGCCCTGGCCACGTCCTCCCAGGGTGAGGGCATGAAACTGGGCTCCTTGCCCTTCTTGCTGCTTGGGTGACAAGCTTTGGGTCATCCCTAGGTCCTGTCACTGTTCCTGCTTCTAAATGGAGAGCATTTTGCCACATCTTCCTGGGAGAGGCTGGGGGTTCGTCCTTGTTATTTGTTCTATCTTGGTAAAACCAGGTTAAGTTATCTGGGCAAGCAGACAATAGAGTGGCACCCAGGAAGGGTGGGGTGTAGGGTGCTGGCCTTTGGGCTTGCCTGGACCATGGTTGGAGGGGGGAAGGTTACCAGGAAGCAGGACTGTCAGGGCTAAAGTCAGGAGGAAGTGGTTATGCTGAGGGGGGAGGTGTGTGGCTGGCTTGGGGCAGGACGTAAGTAAGAGCCAAGCTCTGTCAGCTCACAGAGAGGGCCGCTGGCACCTAGTCTAGAGGCTGTGGAGCCCAGGGGTTGCCCTTAGTTCCTGGATCCAGGGAGACTTCTGGAGCCTGTGCCTATGGCTTTCAGGCACAGGGTGAAGCTGGTGAGGGCAGGGGGAAGGGTGAGAGAGGAGGCCTTGCATGGCAGGGCAGGACAGGAAGCTGGCCAGAGACCAGTTTGCAGTGGCTGCTCCCATCCTCACCCCCACCCCCAAGCACACCCCTACCCCAGCTGGGCCTGGGCACGTGTCCTCTGCTTTGGTCTCAGCAGATCACAAGATGGAAGCTGGCAGCCTAGTGGGTGTGCCACTCAAGCCAGTGGTGACCTGTGACTTCTGCTTCCTGGATCGTGGGGTGCCCACCCAGGAGAGCACAGGTATGCCCCACACCCCTGACCTTGAGGGCGCTGGGAGGTGGGGGACCAATGTGCTCTATCCCTGTGTGTATGCCCTGAAAGGTGGCCTAGGAGTCCTGTGTGCGCCCATCCACGTGGGGTCCCAGGAGCTTCAACGGTGGCAGGGAGGGAGACGAGGAGGGAGAAAGAAGTGGAGAAGAAGGAGAGAGAAAGAGAGTTGGGGAGAAGAGAGTGAGACAGAAAGAGAGGAAGAGAGATGGGGGAAGAAACAGAGAAAGAGAGATAGGGAGAGAGACAGAGGAGGCTGAGAGGAAGAGGAGAGAGAGAGATAGGGAGAGAGACATAAAAAGCAAAGAGAGAGACAGGGAGAGAGGTGCATGAGTAGGAGGTCGGGTCATTCTTGATCACAGTTCCAGGGCAACCTGTAGGTTGCCATTAACTAACCACACATATAATAAAGGCTTCTGCCTGCTGCTTACAGCCCTCAAGAACCTCTACTCCTGGAGACTAAAACCTTTGACGGCTGCCCTTCCTCACTGGATGTTTGTCGTGTCTTCTGACGAACCGTGATGCCTCTTTGTAGGAATGGTATCAATAAAGAGCCAGATTTGAGGAGGAGAGTAACGTGAGGCATTCCAAACCATTTTCAGCTGAAAGGTCTTTAATTAAGGTTTCAAACTCTTTAGTAGTTGGATTGCTGGCGTCATCAGTGCTGGTGCCCTCCTTTTCTTTCTTTGATTCATTGTTTAAATCTGTTGAGGATTGAACAACTGTGAAGTTGACCTGAATAGCACCTTCACTCCTGACAGTCACATCTTGGTAACTGGATTATACCTATAATAAAGGAGGCAGATCAGAACCACAGTCCTTCAGCTGGAGTACCCCAGCCCTGGGAAAACAGGTGTGCAGAGAATGTGTGAATCCTTGGGATAAATGTGGTGCATCTTCCTAAAGAGACATTTTCATGTTGAGCAATTTATTATTTTTGATACATTAATTAATAAATAAAACTCAGGGGACAGGCTTGCCTGGGAGGACTTAGCGAGTCTCACAGTGTCCTCAGGGTGCCGGGAATGTTGGCTTTGTTTCAAACCCATTTCCTTTCACAGAGAACCTAGCCATCACATGGGGCTGGATGAGGTCCAGGGGCAACTGAGGGTTCCTGGCCAAGGCCACACCCTAGTGTTACCTGTAGGCTTCTGAACTAACCCCAGCCTCTGACAGCCCAATGGGTGATGGCAACCGGGTCTCCAAGCTTCTTCTATCGCAATTTTCCTCTTCTCCTTTTCATGACCACCATATCTCCTATCCACTCTCTGTATGCAATGCTGCAGGAATTTTTACAGTTCAGGGAAGTAATCCTGTTAGGCGAGATCAGGAAATGCCATAAGGGATTGCTGTTTTCTTGATTTTCTAGAAACAGAGGGCCTCCCCAACTGCCCCCAAACCCCCACCCCACTGCAGTGAGCATCTCTCTCTTTACCCTTGGTCTGGAGAGCACATGGTATTTCAAGGTCAAAATCGCCACCTAGCGGAGTAGGAATCCTCTCCATGAGGCACATTGTCAGCCCTTTGCAGAAACATTCCAGCTTCCCAATTCTCCCTTTTTGAACCCCTCTACTAGACACCAGGCTTTCTGCCCCTTCAGTAAATGGGAAAACTCAACGATGAGAAGGAAAATGTCCTCCAAAACCAAATTTTAATCTTGATACTGTCCCATCAGCAGGAAAACCACCATTCAGTCCTACGTTCTTTCAAGGCACCAGAATATTCTGCCTCCAATTAAAATGGTACTTAGGCTGGGTGTAGTGGCTCACGCCTATAATCGCAGCACTTTGGGAGGCCAAAGCAGGCAGATAACCTGAGGTCAGGAGTTCAAGACCAGCCTGGCCAACGTTGTGGAACACCATCTCTACTAAAAATACAATAAATTTGCCAGGTGTTGTGGCGTGTGCCTATACTCAGGAAGCTGAGACAGGAAATTTTTTTTTTTTTTTGAGACAGAGTCTCGCTGTGTCACCCAGGCTGGAGTGTAGTGGTGCGATCTCGGCTCACTGCAACCTCCAACTCCCTGGTTCAAGCAATTCTCCTGCCTCAGCCTCCCGAGTAGCTGGGATTACAGGCACGTGCCACCACGTCCAGCTATTTTTTTTTGTATTTTTAGTAGAGACGGGGTTTCACCATGTTGGCCAGAATGGTCTCGAACTCCTGACCTCATGATCTGCACCCCCCTCAGCCTCCCAAAGTGCTGGGATTACAGGCATGAGCCACCATGGCCAGCGAGGCAGGAAAATTTCTTGAGCCTGACAGGCAGAGGTTGCAGTGAGCCAAGATTGCACCACTGCACTCCAGCCTGGGCAACAGAGTGAGACTCCATCTCAAAAAAAAAAAAAAAAAAATTAATAAGTAGATTTTATGCCCGGAAGTTAACTGGAGCCACTACCTAAGAATAAATACTTTAGTATAGACCATAATAACAAACTGTAGAGCTCAAACCAGCACACTCCCTCCATTAAGGGGCCTTGCCCAAATGCAACTGTTACATAGTCCTCCCCAAGATCTATCTATTGGGGAACCACACAGGTCACACAAGTCTAAGAAGTCAAAGGGAAATCACCAGCAGAGGACTAGAGTCACATGGATGAATGTGACTAATCCCTTTGCTTAGTTCCTCCGATTCCATGGCTGAGGGTCATATCTGCATTACTGGGCAGCACCTTTAACAGATGCCAGGGCTCAGGGAACCAAGGAAGGAAAAACAGTTGGGGGGTCGACCCCACTGTCTTCCCCTCCATCCTGAGCCATTGAAGGAGGGAGACCAAAGGGATGCCTTTTTCTTGCTTCTCTTTCTAGATGGGTAAAGACCAACTTCAGCCTGTACTTCTCTGGAATGCATTCTGAATCACTGGGACTCCTTTGACCCCAAGACTTTGAAGGAAAAGCAGCTCATTTTCTTTTGCGCAAGGGCATGGCCTTCTTATCATCTTGAACCAGCCTGGCCTGTGGAGGGGAGCTTTGATTTTAATACTATCCAACAATTAGATCTTTTCTGCAGACAGGAGGGCAAATGGTCCGAGATCCCCTATGTACAAGCTTTCTTTGCCCTGCAAGACAACCCAGACCTTTGCAAGTGTTGCACAATTGACTCAACTTTTTTAGCAGTCATATCAGACGGGCCAAAAGGGAATGACTCCCCAAAACTAGAGAAGCAACTTCCAGGGGAACAATCTGAGGCAGCTATTGAGTGTCCAGGCCCTTGTTGTCCCCCTTCTCTGGGGCCCCCTCCAACCATGCCATTAGCTCCTTCAGCCCTACCACCTCTGAAACTCCCCACATCCCCCTACAGGAAATGCCCAATGGAGGTGATGCCACTAAGGTTCAAGTTCCCTTCTAATTGCAGAACCTTAGGAAAATAAGGGAAGACTTAGGTCAATTTTCTGATGACCCTTATAGATATATAGAAGCTTTCCAAAATTTAACTCAGGTGTTTAGCTTCTCATGGAGGAATGTTATGCTGCTCCTAAACCAAACACTTACTACGGCTGAAAAACAAGCAGCTCTGAAGGCAGCAGAGAAATTCGGAGATGAGCAATATGTCTCCTATAGTAGGCCAAAAAGGGAAAGAGAAAATAGGGAAAGTGAAGAAAGGAAGAACGGAGAACCATCATTCCCAATAGGAAGAAAGGCAGTAACTCCTGACAAACCTGATTGGAACCCCAGTGATACCACAGATGAATGGAAAAGGAAAACTTTTTAATGTGCATATTGGAGGGCCTACAAAGAACTAGGGCCAAACACCTTAATTACTCTAAATTGTCCATGATAGGCCAAAAGCCAGATGAGAATCCTGCAGCCTTTATGGAAAGGCTGAGAGAGGCACTAATAAAACACACCTCCTTAACCCCTGATTCAGTCGAGGGACAGCTCATCCTAAAGGAGAAGTTTATTACACAAGCAGCTCCTGATATTAGAAGGAAACTGCAGAAGCAGGCTATAGGACCAGATAGTACCTTGGAGAACCTGTTGAGGGTAGCCAGCTTAGTTTTTTATAATAGGGATCAGGAGGAGGCCCAAGAGAAAGGAAGGAAGCACAAGAGAAGGACAGAGACTCTAGTAGCTGCTTTGCAGGCTTGCAAAGTCCAGGATCCCCGAGGTGCATATGCTAGTTGCTACTAATGTGACAAGTCGGGGCACTTTAAGAAGGAGCGCCCAGGCAGCAAGAAAAAACCATTTTGATCCTGTCCAGCCTGAGGCAGGGACCACTGGAGAACGGACTGCCCCCAGAGACAGAGGTCACCAGGTTCAGAACCAGTTTCATAGATGGTCCAACAGGACTGATGGGTCTTGGGGTTCAAACCCCCAGATCCAGTAGCTTAAACTACCATTACAGCACAGGAGCCCTGAGTGATTCTGGAAATTGAAGGAAGGAAGGAAGGTGGACCTCCTTCTGGACACTGGAGCCAGATTCTCTCTTCTCTTCTCTGATCTAGGCTTCCCCTCTTCCCATAGCATAACTGTAAGCATCTCAGGAAAGGTTCTGACCTGATATTTTTCTCAACCTCTTAGTTGTAGTTGGGGGGATCTATTATTTATGCACACCTTCTTAATCATAGCTGAAAGTCCCACCTCTTTACTAGGTAGAGACATTTCAGCTCGCATGGGGATCAACATCCTCATAGCCCCAGGACAAACACTTTTCTCCCCCTGGTGGAAGGTAATATGAATCCAGGATTGTGGGCAACTCAAGGAAGAATAGATTGAGCTGTAACTGCTAAGCCAGTTCAGTTCCACCTTAAGGATCCCACTTCTTTTCCTAACCAGAGACAATATCTCCTAAAGCCAGAGGCTAGCAAAGGGCTAGAAGCCCTTATTAATAACCTGAAGATGAGGGGCTTCCTCAAGCCCTCTAACAGCCCTTGCAATACCCCAATATTAGGAGTGCAAAAACCCAATGGGGAATGGAGACTGGTTCTAGACCTCTGCCTCATTAATGAGGCCATAGTCCCAATTCATCCAGTGGTCCCTAATCCCTATATCTTGCTGACTCAAATACCTGAAGGAACTAAATGGTTCTCAGTCCTAGATTTAAAGGATGCCTTTTTCTGTATACCATTACATCCTGACTCACAATACCTATTTACCTTCAAAGATCCCTCCAGCCAAACTGCCCAGTTAACATGGATGGTGGTGCCTCAGGGATTTCGAGACAGTCCTCACTTGTTTGGACAGGCATTGTCAAAGGACCTTTCTGAGTTTTCCCATCCTCAGGTTAGGATCTTGCAATATGTAGATAACATATTGCTCTGTACCCCAATTGAGGAAGCTTCTCAGGAAGGCACTGAAGCTCTTCTGAATTTCTTAGCCAAGAGAGGGCATAAGGTTTCAAACTCCAAGGCCCAGCTTTGCCAAACCTCAGTGAAGTACCTGGGTTTAGTGTGTCTGAAGGGACCAGAGCATTAGGGGAAGAAAGGATTAATCCCATTTCCTCCTTCCCCCTCCCCCAACCCTCAGGCAACTAAGAGGATTTCAGGGCATTAGAGGATTTTGCAGACCATGGATACCTGGGTACACTGAGATAGCTCGCCCTTTATATCACCTCATAAAAGAAACTTAAGTGGCTAAAGCTCATCTCCTGACCTGGGAACCTGAAGCTCAAAAGGCATTTAGCCAGCTAAATCAAGCCTTACGTAAGGCACCTGCCCTCAGCCTTCCCACAGGGAGGGCCTTCAATCTTTATGTATCAGAAAGGAGGGAATGGCCCTGGGAGTTTTAATGCAAGCCTAAGGACCAGCTCAATAGCCAGTGGACTACCTGAGTAAGGAACTTGATTTTGTGGCTAAAGGATGGCCAGTATGCCTCTGAGCAGTTGCTGCTGTGGCCCTACTGGTATCAGATGCCACCAAATCAACCCTGGCAAATTACTTAACTATTTATACCCCCACATAATGTAGCAGAATTGCTGTCTTCTAGGGGAAGCCTTTAGCTAACAGACAGCTGGCTCTTTAAATATCAAGCTCTGCTGTTAGAAGGGTCTACAATCCAATTGAAAACTTGTCCTCACCTAAACCCAACCACTTTCCTCCCCGAGGAAACTGGGGAACCTGAACATGACTGTGAGCAAGTTGTGGTACAGACCTATGCAGCCAGGGAGGATCTCAGGGACACTCCCCTACAAAATCCAGGCTGGACCCTTTTCATAGATGGAAGTTCCTTTGTAGAGCAAGGAGTCTGTAAGGCAGGATATGCAGTCATCACTCTGAATGGTGTTTTTAAAGTGCATCCCTCTCTCCAGGCACAAGCACTCAACTAGCTGAACTAATAGCTCTTATAAGAGCACTTGAATTAAGGAAGGGAACAGTAGCTAATATTTACACTGCCTCCAAGAATGCTTCCTTAGTTCTCTATGCTTATGCTGCCATTTGGAAGGAAAAACACTTTCTTACTGCTAATGGATCTCCTATAAAATATCATCAGGAAATTAACAGGTTATTATCATCGGTTTTCCTTCCACAAGGGGTAGCAGCGATGCATTGTAAGGGACATCAGAAGGGAACAGATGAAGTAGCTGAAGGAAACATGTTAGCTCATCAGACAGCCAAGTCAGTGGCAAGGAAGCCTCAGGGCACAACACACTTGAAGCCGCTTGAATTTGGGAAGGCTCCGTAAGAGAAATGAAGCCTCAGTACTCCCCTGCAGAGATAGAATGGGCCACCTCTCGAAGGTACACTTTCCAGCCCTCAGGACCGTTGAAGTCAGAGGATGGAAAACTCCCCTTGCCAGCCTTCAGCCATTGGAAAGCCCTTAAAATCCTTCACCAAGCTTTTCACTTGGGAAAGGATATAACTGATCTGTGTGCCCAGAGATCGTTTTCAGGAGAGAACTTATTAAAAACAGTCAAATAGGTTGTTAATGCTTGTGAAGTCTGTCTTAAAAACAATCCCCTCAACAGGCAGCTCCTTCCTCCTCAAACCCAAAGGATGGGAAGCTATCAAGGGGAAGACTGGCAGATAGACTTCACCCATATACCAAAGATGAAGGGCATCCAATACCTCCTAGTATGGGTAGATACTTTCACTAACTGGGTAGAGGCATTTCCATGCCGTACAGAAAAGGCCTCTGAAGTAATAAAAGGGTGAGTTAACGAAATAACTCCTCACTCTGGTGTGCCTAAGTACCTCAAAAGTGACAATGGCCCCTCATTTAAGGCAGCCATCACACAGGCGTTCTCAAAGGCACTAGGCATATGGTATCATCTCCATTGTGCTTGGAGACCCCAGTCCTCAGGAAAGGTAGAGATGACCAACGATGTTATCAAGACACATCAGAAAACTGTCTCAAGAAACTCACCTTCCTTGGGTCACTCTTCTTTCCATGGCTTTACTGCGGGTAGGAAATACCCCTTCAAAGTTAGGTCTGAGCCCTTTTGAAATGCTGTATGGATGGCCTTTCCTTACCAGTGATTTCTTATTAGACCAGGAGACCTCTGAATTGGTTAAGGATGTAACTTCTCTAGCTCATTTTCTTTTTTTTTTTTTTGAGACAGAGTCTCACTCTGTCACCCAGGCTGGAGTGCAGTGGCGCGACCTCGGCTCACTGCAAGCTCTGCCTCCCGGCTTCACGTCATTCTCCTGCCTCAGCCTCCTGAGTAGCTGAGACTACAGGCGCCCGCCACCATGCCTGGCTAATTTTTTTTTGTATTTTTAGTACAGACGGGGTTTCACTGCGTTAGCCAGGATGGTCTCGATCTCCTGACCTCGAGATCCGCCCGCCTCGGCCTCCCAAAGTGCTGGGATTATAGGCGTGAGCCACCACGCCCGGCCTCTAGCTCACTTTCAACAGCAATGAACACAACTGGCAAAAGCCCAGCCCTCAAAAACAGGAGCACCTCTATTTAACCCAGAGGATTTCGTCTTGGTGAAAGCTCTCCCTTCTCTCCCTCCTCCCCCACGCCCAAGCTGGGAAGGGCCCTATTCTGTTCTTCTTATATTTATTTTTATTTTTATTTTTTTTTGAGACAGAGTTTCTCTTTGGTTGCCCAGGCTGGAGTGCAGTGGCGTGATATTGGCTCATCGCAACCTCCACCTCCCGGGTTCAAGCGATTCTCCTGACTCAGTCTCTGGAGTAGCTGGGATTACAGGCATGTACCACCATGCCTGGCTAATTTTGTATTTTTAGTAGAGACAGGGTTTCTCCATGTTGATCAGGCTGGTCTCAAACTCCTGACCTCAGGTGATCCACGTGCCTCAGCCTCCCAAAGTGCTGCGATTACAAGCGTAAGCCACCGCGCCCAGCCTCTACACTGTTCTTCTTTTAACCCCCTCAGCAGTACAAGTTATAGGTATTGACTCCTGGATACATCACACTCAAGTCAAAGCATGTAAAGCTAAGAGGCAACCCCTGACAGCCCAGAGGAACGTCCTGGATATAAATGTGAAGAAATAGAAGATGTTAAGCTGAAAATCATAACAGATAAGTAAATGAGTGAGGGCTTCTCTACCTACTCAGTCACACCCCTACCTTACCATATACCTTCAGTCATTTCTACTTTTCCTCTCGAGATTTGCCATCAAATATTAAAACATCTTTTTGAAATGTACTTTCAGAGAGATTTTGATTATCCAGGGGATTACATTTGTAACTTCACAGACCCCCAGAGGGAAAGTCTATATCTTGGTGAGTAAAATTTTAGATGGAAATTATCTACTATACCTCCCTTGCAGGAATTGTTGTGCTCACTCTACTTGTAGTAGGACTGTATACTGTCACACCCCCAGAATGGAATATTGGATGAAGAATCTCAATCACTGAAGTATTTTGCTTAATTATTATCCTTACAGCAGGGACAATAGTTACTGACGACAGGTAAACATGAAGGTTTTACTATCACTGAGTCAGCTAGGACTTTTTCTTTTTCTTTTTTACTTTTTTTTTCTGAGATGGAGTCTCGCTGTGTCGCCAGGCTGGAGTGCAGTGGCACACAATCTTGGCTCACTGCAACCTCCGCCTCCCGGGTTCAAGCAAGTCTCCTGCCTCAGCCTCCCAAGTAGCTGGGACTACAGGCATGCCCCACCACGCCTGGCTAATTTTTGTGTTTTTAGTAGAGATGAGGTTTCACCATGTTGGCCAGGATGGTCTAGATCTCTTGACCTCGTGATCTGGCCGCCTCGCTCTCCCAGAGTGCTGGGATTACAGGCGTGAGCCACCGTGCCCGGCCTACCTGTGCACTTTTAAATGAAACATGCTGCTTCTGGATCAGCATCTCTAGTCAAGTAGAAGAGAACCTACAGGTGCTTAAAGACCAAATTAGAATCATTGACAAGTTAAGAGAAAACGTGGATTCCAGTCTTCTTTATGGAATTGATTAGTTCCTTTTTTAAGCCCGCTCTTGCTCGTGTGTTTTGTACTAATATTTGGACCTTGTATACGCAATACGGTAACTTGAATTATTTCCTCTCACCTAGAAGCTATTAAACTCCAAATGGCGCCGCGGATGGAACCTCGCATGGACATGCCATTCTTCCAAGGACCCTTAGATCGACTCCAGGAGGAGCTCTAGCTGCTGTGCCCCACTCAATGCCCCTCTCTTCAGCAGGAAGTAGCCAGAAAGTCATTGCCCAATACCCCCTAACAGGAGTTAGGGTTACCACTCCTGAGAGGGGAAATATGATACAGGAGCTAGAAAGAAATTATTTGGCAGACAGTGAGGGTGAATAAGTCCTCAGCAAGGTTTCCCTTTTAAGAAAACGCAGCCCCCAAATCATTTCTTTTCTAACAAAGAGCAGCCTGAAAAATTGAGCTGCAAACATAGGTAAGCAAGTTGGAAGCTTGCACGGGGGGATGCCGGCACCTGTGCTGATAGAAGAAAGCTACCGGGGGCCAGGCATGTTCAACATGGAGGCTCCATCTTCCCTTTTGTCACCATGTGTACAGTAAAAAAAGCAGGCAACATGGCACCGGCCAGGTAGAGAATCCATCTGAATAATAAAAGATTAGGGTGGGGCGGCCAGCTTCTTTGTGCACTATGCAAACAGCACACCTAGTCCTAACCAGTTCTTTGAATGCTATGTAAACGGCACACCTTGTCCAACCAATCTTTCATTCCCTATGTAAATTAGACACCACCTCCTCAAGCACATCTATAAAACCTCCTGCACTTCACTGCAGACCAGAAGACCTGCTTGGGACCTCCTCTCTCTTCAGGAGAGAGCTTTTCTCTTTCTTTCACCTATTAAACCTCCATTTTTAACCTCTCTCCTTGTGTGTCTGTCCTTGATTTCCTTGGCATGGGACAAGGAACCTTGGGTTTTACCCCAGATGAACGATGCCACTTCACCACTATGTTGCCCAGGCTGGTCTCCAACTCCTGGGCTCAAGCAATGTTCCCGCCTTGGCTTCCTGAATTGTTGGGATTACAGGCGTAAACCGCTGTTCCCAGTCTGAAAAATTTTCTTCAGAGAGAACAGGCTTTGTCAGTGGTCTACTTGAACAGTATACTAAATTCATCAGGTTTGGGGATCCAAAGGAACTGTCCATTATCCTCATCCATCAGCAAAAAGAATAGGCCCTTTGGTAAATTATTTTTGTAAGTGCTTAATCCTCAATTACTTGTTGCTGGGCCTTGTCATCACCAGGAATCATTCCGTGCTTTGTGTCCTTAATGCCAGCATTCACGATTTAAAACTAAGCTTTCTAGCACTTGCTTCACTGTTTCAACCACTTTCTTCCTGGGACTTTCAAATTCTTTGACTCCTGTGTTAGTTCAAGTCTACAGAAAAGTAGATGTCAAGGACTACATGTGAAAGAGGTTTATTAGAGAAGGAACAGAAGGCAGGACAAATCTTCAGACTGATTGCAGGTCTGACTATGGAAGGAGAGAGGGAAGGAAGGAGGGTTGGGTAGGACTGGACTGTAGCAAAATTCAGCCAGGCCACAGGGAGTCTTTGAGCCAAAATTGCCTGTTGGAGGTCTGTATGTCAACAGAATGGGCATTCCCTTAACGCACCTCTTTTATTAATCTAATCATCCGCAGTCCCCATTACTCTAGTCCTACTGTTGAAAATCATACAATAGTAGAGAATACTGAAGCCACTGTTAAAGGCCCTCCATAGTATCCCTTCTTAATTCCGATTGTCCACAGCAGTTACCACGACTCCTCGTCCTTCTCAGCTCCTCTTCTATTCTGTCTCAAGTAACACTGCTTGTGTTTTCTGAGAGAATATGGCACCTGTAGGTCATTAATTTATCTAAAAAGAACACGTGTAGTCAATTTCTTTCATCTAAGCTAAGAGCAAAATGTGCTTTACCAGTCTTAGGACCCCATCCCTTTTCCTACAACCATGTTGATCCCTCTGAGCTGTATTTAAAAATACTCCTCAGCTGACTTCATTCTTACACTCTAGTTCCTTTTTTTTTTTTTTTTGAGACAGTCTCACTCTGTTACCCAGGCTGGAGTGCAGTGGCACGATCACTGCTCACTGCAACTTCCGCCTCCTGGCATCAAGCGACCCTCCTGCCTCAACCTTCCAAGTAGCTGGGATTACAGGCATGCACCACCATGCCTGGGTAATTTTTTGTATTTTTAGTAAAGATGGGGTTTCGCCGTGTTGGACAGGCTGGTCTCGAACTTCTGACCTCAGGTGATCTGCCCGCCTCGGCCTCCCAAAGTGCTGGGGTTACAGGCGCGCGCCACCATGCCTGGCCCACCCTAGGAACTTTTTTTTTGTTTGATGGGTCTTGCTTTGTTACCCAGGCTGCAATGCAGGGGGTTCTTCACAGGTACAATAAATAATAGCTCCCTGCAGCCTCGAACTCTTGGGCTGAAGTGATCCTCTCACCTCAGCCTCCGAAGTTGCTGGGACTACAGGAACCTGCCACCATGCCCAGCTGTTTTATAAAATATTTTTAGAAATGGGGGTTTCACCATGTTGCCCCCAGGCTAGACCCATGGGCTCAGTTGTCCTCCCTCCTCCACCTCCTGAGTAGCTGGGACTACAGGTGCACACCACCATTCCTGGCAAGAAAACATTCTTTTTTTTTTTTTTTTTTTTCCGAGACTGAGTCTTGCTCTGTCACCCAGGCTGGAGTGCAGTGGTATGATCTCGGCTCACTGCAACCTCTGCCTCCCAGGTCCAAGCGATTCTCCTGCCTCAGCCTCCAGAGTAACTGGGATTACAGGTGCCCACCACCACACCAGGCTAATTTTTGTACTTTTAGTAGAGATGGGGTTTCACCGTGTTGGCCAGGCTGGTCTCGAACTCCTGACTTCGTGATCCGCCCGCCTTGGCCTCCCAAAGTGCTGGGATTACAGGCGTGAGCCGCTGTGCCTGGCCAAGAAAATATTCTTAATTCCATTTAGGTTCACATAAATTCCATTTAGGTTCATATCCAACTTCAGATGAATTTTCTTGATAGAACAAATGTGCAGACTTTTCAGTAATACAGACTGAATTATTCACCAAAACTATATTGACGCTACATGACAGAACTAAAAAGGAGTAAATTAGGGTCAGTTTAATGTTTCATTAGGTATTTAGAGACCAAAAGAAACCACAAAATCTTCTTATTTAAAATATTTTAATTTCTAAAAAGCTTAAATCATATTAAAATTTAAACAATTTCATTGTACAGTACTTGACAATACATTTCAACAAACTGAAAGGCAAACCAGTAAATCAGTTTTGCTTACTTTCTAAGCTTAATAATGTACAGACTCTTGCTCTTCAAGAAGATGCAAAAATCAGCAACAGTACAAGTGAAATATTTAAATAGGAATCTGAAACAAAACGAATTCAATCTGATCAAATCCACAATTAATTGAAGTTTTCATTTTATTCAATTGTGAATAAAATAGCAGACACTGTTTCATCCAATAAGCCAATGATATCAGCTTAGGAGAAATGATCTGCCTGGCTTGTGCAAGACAAGAACAGTTACCTTCTGCTGAAAGGATGTGAGTTTTCAAATTTGGTTTTCATGTCATAGTTTCCAAATAAATGAACCGCTCCACCAAAAACGACAGTCTAGTTGCTACCTATCTTCCAGGGTTTCATCATACAGCCATTTATAAGCACAATCTTTGGAACGCTCTATAGTTTCAAAAAGTGTTTTGAAGTCTTGAGGGTGCATGTTAACTACTTTCTCATCCTCCTGTTTTCCTATTTGCATCAATATATCTCTCGCATCAAGTGGAGTCAATGAACTGCAAAAGAAATACAAAGTAAATGTACTTAATTCTTTCTCATGCATCTATCAGTTCACGGTGACAGAAATGGCTTCTAAGTTGAATTCAAAATGTCTAACTTAGGCATACAGAGTGCTATAATGGACACGGGAGAATCAGCAGGGAAGAGGATGGGAGGAGGGTGAAGGATGGGAGGAGGGTGAAGGATAAAAAGCTACCTACTGGGTACAATGTACACTATTTGGGCATGGGTACACTAAAAGCCCAGACTTCAACAATCCATCCATGAAACCAAAAAAATCACTTGTATTCCTAAGGCTATTGAAATAAGAAGAAAAAAAAAAGCCTAACTTATTATATATAAGCAATCTTATTTAGTTTAAGAGCTTCCAGTAACTTTATGCTTATTTCTAAAGTTTCATAGCTAACCTATAATGAAAATATTAATAGCAGGTTTAGGCTTTCACATACTCTAATCAATTTTTACACCGAATTCTAGTTTAATCACTGCCGTTTGAAAAAATTATTATGCCTACCTCTTTCATCCTTTTCCTTTCTGCAAAAAATATTCTTAACTTCTTTTGGTTCATGTCAAAGTTCAGTAACTATAAACAGCAGAAGTTGCTGTTTGGCAGTTTACAAAGAGGGAATCATTTTTCACATTTTGATGTAACCATCATTGGTAAATACATTATAAAGCCGCAAACTTCCTTATACAGTCATGCATTGCTTAATGATGGAGGTATGTCCTGAGAAATGCACTGTTAGGTGATTTCATTGTTGCTTGAACATCTTACAGAGTACTTAACCCAAACCTATGTGATATAGCCTATTACAGACTTAGGATATATGGCATAGCCTATTGCTCCAAGGATACAAACCTGCACAGCATGTTACTGTACTGAATACTGTAGGCAACTGTAACACAATGGTAAGTAATAGAAAAGATACAGTAAAAGATACAGCATCTTTATAATCTTATGGGACCACTATTGTACATTTGGTCCACTACTGACTGAAACGAGGTATAACGAACACGCCTCATTATGAGGTATTATATATATAAGGTATATTATATAATATATATACAATATATAATCAATGAGGTATATTATATACCATAATATGAGGTACATAACTGTGTATCAGCTTAGCAACAAACCATCAATAAGCCTCCAACAACAACAATTGTAAAAAAATATTTTGGGCTGGGTGCGGTGGCTCCTACCTGTTATCCCAGCACTTTGGGGGGCTAGGTGGGAGGATCATTTGAGCCCAAGAGTTCAAGACTATCCTGAGCAACATAGTGAGACCCCATCTCTACAAAAATCGTAAAAAGTTAGCTGGGCATAGTGGTGGGCATAGTAGTCCCAGCTACTCAGGGAAGAGGCTGAGGCAGGATCACTTGAGCAAGGGGTTTGTGGTTGCAGTGAGCTATGATTGTGCCACTGTACTCCAGACTGGGCAACAGAGTGAGACTCTCTGTCTGTTCAATTCCAATACTTTTTGATATTGAATAGAATCTTGGTAACATGTTTCTAGTCCACTGAGATTACCAGGAGCATTTTTAATATTTTGCACTATGATTTACAACATTTATTCCTTATTTCCCTATTTTCTTGATATTTTCATTCAAAATAGCCACAAGGTGGCAAGATGAAAAATAATAGATTGCCTTTTATTAGTCTATTGCCTTTTACTAGTCTATTACCACTTTTTTTTTTTTTTTTTTTTAGAGATAGAGTCTTGCTCTGTCACCCAGGCTCATCTCAAAGTCTTGTTGGCGCTCTCTGCCTCCCAATTTTTTTTTTTTTTTTTTTTTTAGAGACAAGGTCAGCTTGCTCTGTGTCCCACACTGCAATGCAGTGGTGAGTTTATGGCTCACTACAGCCTCCAATCCCCGGCCTCCTCAAGTGATCCTCCCACCTTGGCCTCACAAAAATGCTCGGATTACAGGCATGAACCACTGCACCCAGGCTATTGCCACTTTTAACATTTATTTTTAGATAAATATTGTCTAGTCAACAGCTCATTCAGAGTTAAATATTAAATGATCAAATTTGTTAAAATAATTATTTTAACATTTTACCCATCCTCTGGCGAGACTTTGAATGACTATGGGCTGCTGATTACAAGGCATAATGCACAACTTACAGGGACGTATGCATCAGCCCTACATACAAATTACATGGATTTATGTACAAATTACACAGATGGCTGGGCGCGGGAGCTCATGCCTGTAACCCCAACACTACTTACAGAGATGTATGCATCATCCCTACATACAAATTACATAGATGGCCAGGCGCAGTGGCTCATGCTGGTAACCTGAGCTGTACTTACAGAAGTGTGGGCATCAGGCCTACACACAAATTACATGGATGGCCAGGCATGGTGGCTCCCGCCTGTAACCCCAGCACTACTTACAGAGGTGTGTGCATCAGCCCTACATACAAATTACATGGATGGCCAGGTGCAGTGGCTCATGCCTGTAACCCCAGCACTTTGGGAGGCCAAGCAAGGTGGATTGCTTGAGGCCAGGAATTTGAGACCAGCCTGGGCAAGGTGGCAAAACCCCATCTCTACAAAAATTGGCATACAATTTATAAACACAAAATATAAATATAAAAATTTTATATTTTTACAAATATAAAAATTAGCCGGGCGTGGTGGTGCATGCTTGTAGTCCCAGCTACTCAGGAGGCTGAGGTGGGAGGATCACTTGAGCCTGGGAGGACAAGGCTGCAGTGAGCTGAGACTGTGCCACTACACTTCAGCCTGGACAACACAGCGAGACCCTGTCTCTAACAACAACAAAAAAATGTTTTTCACTTATATAGACATAAAGCAAGTAGTGTTACTTACAAGCTATTATTTTTACAAAGCTTTGGGTAAAAACAAAATTTGATCCAGAGCAAGGGAACCAGGGTGGTATAATTATCTATCCCTACTCTGGTTAAGGAACAGAACCACTGAAGACAAGCAATGAGAGGTAAGTGTGGGCACGCCTCCAGTAATGCTGATTTCTCTCCACCCCACTAGTGGTAGGCAGCTAGTGCTTCCTGTAAGATAAAGCTAAGCCCATACTCTCAAAAAGATTAAACAATCTGGGCATTTTTTTAAAGAAGGAAAAATAAATGAAACTCAATGAGAGATTATGGGAAAAATATATTTTCCTCAAAATGTACACCAGGGAGAACAAATTATTTTGAAGAAATATGAGGGAAAACATGGTACCTCACTCTGTCAATCAAGATATAAAAATAGATCTCTAGCATGAAAGAATAATTTGTGCATCGTTGCTACTTTATACTTGCTTTTATTCTTTTTACTCACCGTAAGTGGTCTATTACAGTGGCGCTGCGCCTCCCAAAACAGTGCTTTAACAAGTGAAAAAATATATTATAGTTCATAGGTGTTAAGTTCTTGGTAAATAAATTTTGACGAGGAATCATTTGAATAAGATACAGCTTTTGTTGTAATTGGTCTAATAATTCCTGGAGAGAAGAAAAAATGAATTGCATTAGTCACAAAATATTGCCAGAGTAAGACATTGCTCACTTCTTCCTTCAAGCTATCTGCTG
The DNA here is from genome assembly GCF_000001405.40 of Homo sapiens. Classification (NCBI taxonomy): domain Eukaryota; kingdom Metazoa; phylum Chordata; class Mammalia; order Primates; family Hominidae; genus Homo; species Homo sapiens. The sequence continues at coordinate 246,544,769 of NC_000001.11, forward strand.
AAAGACACAATCACCACAGGCCCTGAGTGTCTTCACATTCTCTTTTTCTTTCTTGGAGATAGAGTCTCACTCTGTCGCCCAGGCTGGAGTACAACGGCGTGATCTCCACTCACTGAAAGCTCCATCTCCCGGGTTCATGCCATTCTCCTGCCTCAGCCTCCCGAGTAGCTGGGACTACAGGCGCCCACCACCACGCCTGGCTAATTTTTTGTATTTTTAGTAGAGATGGGGTTTCACCGTGTTAGCCAGGATGGTCTCGATCTCCTGACCTCGTGATCCGCCCGCCTCGGCCTCCCCAAAGTGCTGGGATTACAGGCGTGAGCCACCGTGCCCGGCCCACATTTTCTTATTGTGTACACCAAGAACACAAAGCCCTAATTGGTCTTTACCAATGAATTGGGCCATTTCTCAGAGTTGTTTGTGATGAGTAACCTTGAGGGAGGAGATAACGTCTCTCTCCAGGACAAAGAGCAGGCCTGTGGCTGGGTGCAGTGGCTCATGCCCATGATCCCAGCACTTTGGGAGGCCAAGGCGTGGATCACTCGAGGTCAGGAGTTCAAGACCAGCCTGGACAACGTGGCAAAACCCCATCTCTATAAAAAATAAATTAGCTGGGTGTGGTGGTGTGTGCCTGTAGTCCCAGCTACTCGGGAGGCTGAGGTGGGAGGATGGCTTGAGCCCAGGAGGTGGAGGCTGAGAGCATGCCACTGCACTCAAGGCTGGTTGACAGAGCCAGGCCTTCTCTTAAAAAAACAAAAGGGCAGGCTTGCTTAATGTTTGCTATGAAGGAGGAGGATTCATTGGGAGGCTGAGGTGGGCAGATCGCTTGAGCCCAGGAGTTCAAGACTAGCCTGGACAACATGGCGAAACCCTGTCTCTACAAACAGTACAAAAATTGGCAGGGTATGGTGGTGCATGCCTGTAGCCCCAGCTACTTAGGAGGCTCAGATGGGAGGATGCTTGAGACTGCTGCGTGGAGTTTGCAGTGAGCCGAGATTACGCCATTGCACTCCAGCCCGGGTGACAGAGCAAGACCCTGATTCGAAAAAAAAAAAAAAAAAAAAAAGACCTAGATTCCCCCAGCTCTGTACTTCTCAGCTGCAAAGCAAGTCCACTAAATGCAAGGCACCCAACTGAGCCACCTCACATCACTCCATGGGAAGAGAGGCACAGAACATCCTCTGTCTGATCCAGGAGTCTTAGGCCAACATCCGAGAAACAGTAACATTTATTAACATGTAAGTAGGGTAAAATCAAATCCCAGACATGAGGCCGGGTTGCTCACACCTACAATCCAACACTTTGGGAGGCCGAGGCAGGAGGATCGCTGGAGCCCAAGAGTTAGCGACCAGCCTGGGCAACACAGGGAGACTCCTTCTTTACAAACAAACAAACTAGCTGGGCGTGGGATGCACATCTGTGGTCCCAGCTATTTGGGAGGTTGAGGTGGGAGGATCACTTGAGTCCCGGGAGTTTGAGGCTGCAGTAAGCCGTGATTATGCCACTGCACTCCAGCCTGGGAGAAGAGTGAGACACTGTCTTTTAAAAAAAGAAAAAAAAATAGGCTGGGCGTGGCGGCTCACGCCTGTAATCCCAGCACTTTGGGAAGCCAAGGTAGGCGGATCACCTGAGGTCAGGAGTTTGAGACCAGCCTGGCCAACGTGGTTGAAACCCCATCTTTACTAAAAATACAAAAATTAGCCCTGCGTGGTGGAGCATGCCTGTAATCCCAGCATTCGGGAGGGTGAGGCAGGAGAAACACTTGAACTCGGGAGGTAGGGGTTGCAATGAGCCAAGATCATGCCATCGCACTCCAGCCTGGGTGACAGAATGAGACTTTGCCTCAAAAAAATAAATAAATAAAAAATAAAAAAAGGAAAAAAAAAAAAACCCAAACATGGCATTAACATATATTGAGTCCTTGCTATATTCAAGATAAAACATCACCATCGGATCCAAAGGACAAAAAAAGTTATTGACTAAAATTTTTAATCGGATATTTAAAAAGTAGGTCTCAAACAAAACTTGGATAGAAATGACAGGCCCTAAAAACCTGTTAAATGTCTCAAACTGCTTCCATAGCAATATGAGCACCTTGATATCAAAGACACATGTGAAATATCTAAAATAAATTCTGTCATAAAATATGACATTTGCTTATTTCATCTTCATCCCTAAAAGTTTATATATGTATATATACACACACACACACACATTTTTTTTTTTTTTTTTTGAGACAAAGTCTCACTCTGTTATCCAGGCTGGAGTGCAATGGCATAGTCTCAGCTCACTGCAAACTCTGCCTCCCAGGTTCAACTGATTCTCCCACCTCAGCCTCCTGAGTAGCTGGGACTACAGGCGCACGCCACCACACCCAGCTAATTCTTGTATTTTTAGCAGAGATGGGGTTTCAGCACGTTGGCCAGGCTGGTCTCAGACTCTTGACCTCGTGATCCACCCACCTCGGCCTCCCAAAGTGCTGGGATTACAGGTGTGAGCCACCACGTCCGGCCAAGTTTATATTTTTAAGTTGGCCAAAAAAACTTAAGCTTTTCAGCTTCTTGCTGAAAAACTGAGAAAGTATATTATATACAGGATTGTTCATTTGTGGAATATTTGGATAAGTCCCCAATAGTATCCAAATGTACTGTATTAGACAAAATGCATTATTCCTATTCTGTTTTTTGGGACTACATAAATATGCTGTATAAATAGTCAAACAGAACTAAAAGCACAATGATGACTGATCACTCTAAAATCACAACATTGAAAGAAAACTGATAATTTTCTTTTTCCTTTAGTGGCAAGTGTGAGAAAAAAACATAAGTAAGCAAACAAACAAGATCTTCAGACTAAGCTGTTATGCTGAGATTAGGCCATTGTTAGCATTTAATTCGTTTTTTTTTTTTTTAAGCCCCAAACCTTAAAGACAGGCATCTAATTCTAAAGTGAAACTTCTGAATTGAGTCAAAAAATTGTTTTGTGAAACTTTAGCTACTTTATTAGAATTTCACAACTAGCCCTGAGATAAACTAAATGGAGGACTATAACATTGTCACTTTGGTTCTTACGTACAAAGATTAAAAAATGAACAAAAATAAAGGCCTAACTCCTGGGTAAAAATCAAGAAGTACCTATCAGTGAATTCAACCATGTAATAAGAGTAGTAATATCACAATTTTTTTTTTTTTTTTTTTGAGACAGAGTCTCGCTCTGTTGTCAGGCTAGAGTGCAGTGGCACGATCTTGGCTCACTGCAACCTCTGTCTGCCAGGTTCAAGTGATTCTTCTGCTTCAGCGTCCTGAATAGCTGGAATTACAGGCATGCGCCACCACACCCAGCTAAGTTTTGTATTTTTAATAGAGGCGGGGTTTCACCATGTTGGCCAGGGTGGTCCCGATCTCTTGACCTTGAATATCACAAATTTCTAATCGATTAATACGTCATAAAATTTTGTTTCTAATTAATCGAATTAGATAAATATTAAAATGATTTTATTTTCCAAATTTGAAATGTACCTTCATTTCAAAAGATATAAGAAGAGAACTCAGATTCTGTTTTTAAGCCTATTACTATGCTAGCATCCATTGTATAACAGCTGATAACTCTTCCAAAATACTTTTGATTCATTAAAAGTAGTAAGATATGTTTAAAGAATGTTTCTAGATATTTTAAAATTAAAAAGTTAAATACAGACTACCAAATAGTCCTAAAAAAATAAAATAAAAAATACGTCACGTAGGGAGAAAAAGGAAAAGGTATTATTTTATTCTTACCCTACGCTTTGGGTTTTCCAGCGGCCCTTTCCGGGTGTATATATCAAATGATGACCAAGGCTCCTGGGGAAGAAAAACAAAGCAAAACAACATCTTTTATTTCTCTTTGGTCAAAGTGCCCCAGTTATTACTTCCTTAAAAAACACCTTGCCTAAATAAGAGAATGGTCAGTCTAATTGGATTTAAAAGAAACATGTTATAGCTAAATAATACACATCTCTCTCCTTAATTTTTTTAAAGAGGAGGAGGATCAAAAGTCTACCCAAATACTAGTACCTCTTTTCCTTATTAAACATGACTTCGCCTGTTATGCAATTACGCAAATAAGTATTTGTTATAATTTTTACCACTCAATATTTCCATATCACAGTCAGAATCAGCAGTTTAAGGGATATTAGATTAATGCTGAGGATTTCTTTTTGCCCTACTTCAGTGGAAAAGCCTACTAATCAAACTATTTGAATATGTTAGAACATATATGGAAATAAACAAATAAAGATACTAGTGTCGACCAGGTGCTGTGGTTCATGCCTATAATCCCAGCACTTTGGGAGGCCAAAGTGGGAGGGTTGCTTGAGCCTGGGAGCTGGAGTTTGCAGTAAGCCACTGTACTCCAGCCTGGGAAACAGAGTGAGACCCTATCCAAAAACAACAATAACAAAAACCTAGTGTCAATTTTAAAATGGATCACTATTTTTCGGTATCTATCTTTTGTAAGAGAATTTTGTGCATAAGGCAATTTTAAGAGATGATCCGGTCAGGCACAGTGGCTCATGCCTGTAATCCCAGCACTTTGGGAGGCTGAGGGAGGAGGACCGCTTGAGCTCAGGGGTTCAAGGCCAGCCTGGGCAACATGGTGAAACCCTGTCTCTTCAACAAATACAAAAATTAGCTGGGTGTGGTGGTGTATGCCTGCAGTCCCAGCTCTTTGGGAGGCTGAGGCGGGAGGATTGCTTAAGCCTGGGAGGCGGAGGTTGCAGTGAGCCGGGATTGTGCTGGTGCACTCCAACCTGGGCTGACAGAGTGAGATCGTGTCTCAAAATAAAAAACCGACCCACCTGAAAAAGTATTCTCTATTAAAAAAACTATACATACCCATAACCATATTAAATTCCAAAATAAGAGTGGGTTAAAATAGATCTGACATAGGCTTAAAAGACTAAACAATATTGAACACAAGGTCTGAAAGGCTACTGTCAAGTAACAATTTATTATTAACTGCAGGGGCAATGAGAGTGGCTAAAACATATAATTGTGGCCAAATTGTGAAATTCCTAGCAGTTCCAGGAATGTCACTTTAAGTGGGGGAAGAAAAGCACCATCAGCCGTGCACAATGAGTACTGCCACTTCCCACACGCCTGGTCGAGCCTCAACAGCTTTCCCCTCATCAAGCACAGTGGAGGAAAACCTGCAAGACACTGGGAATTGACTTCAACAACTTACTCTACAGATGTAGACACACAGTGGAGCAAGTGCTGAGAAACGTTAGGTCCAGAAAGACCTTTCCTTTCTGGAGTTTAGTAAATGGCAAAACCTAACACGGGACCTTTGAAAGCAAATACTAAGGGAACAAGAAGACGAAAACATTCTGCAAGCTAAAGTCCTCAGAGGGCCTCTCTGAAGAAACTAGCTGAAAGCTACCAGGACAGAAGACTTGAGATGAAAGTCAACAGAATGAGACAAGATCAGTGGGTAAGGAAGAATTTTAGAGAAACCAAGAACTATAGTACTGAGAGTACAATATACAGTGCAGGCAGAAAGCAGAATCAGTGATGTGAAGACTAAGTGTGAAGAGATTCTGGGAATGGAGAAAAATGATGAGAGCATGACAGACACGAAAGACAAGGATCAGAGATCCAACCTAAGAACCTCAAATGTTTTTGAGGGGAAAAAAAAAGAATTGGAACAAAAGCTAAAATCAAATGAGATAACATTCCTGAGCTTAAAAAAAAAATACAGCAAGGTGCAGACTGAAGACCTCAGCATATTCTCAGGCGGAAGCAGTGACGAGAACACGTGAAGATCCACATTGTAAATATTTAAAAATTAGAGCCAGGGCCAGGCGCAGTGGCTCACGCCTGTAATCCCAGCACTTTAAGAGGCTGAGGCGGGTAGATCACCTGAGGTCAGGAGCTCAAGGCCAGCCTGGCCAATGTGGTGAAACCTGTCTCTACCGAAAATACAAAAATTAGCAAGGTGTGGCGGTGCACGCCTGTAGTCCCAGCTACTCGGGAGGCCGAGGCAGGGGAATTGCTTGAATACAGGATGTAGAGGTTGCAGTGAGCCGAGATCGAACCACTGCTCCCCAGCCTGGGTGACTTGAGTGAGACTCCATCTCAAAAAATAAAAAAATAAAAAATAGAGCCAGGTGCAGTGGGTCATGCCTGTAATCCCAGTGATCTGGGAGGCTAAGGCAGAAGGATCACTTGAGGCCAGGAGTTCAAGACCAGGCTGGGCAATATTCTTAAACATTTTAAAACTTAGCCAGGCATGGTGGCGCCTGGCTGTAGTCCCAGCTACTCCAGAGGCTAAGGTGAGAGGATCACTTGAGTCCAGTAGTTCAAGGCTGCAGCAAGCTATGATTGTGCCACTGCACTCCAGCCTGGGCAACATAATGAGACCCTGTCGCTAAAGAAAAACGTTTTTAAACAGAAGGATTTTACTCACCATGTGCAGAACCTTAATCTCACAAGCTAATTGCCAGATAACACTTAATACATGATACAAGTCTGGATTTCCGGGATCTGCCATTAGTTTCTAGTAAAAGGAAAATAAAAATTACATGTTATACACATCTATAATCAATTAAAAACAAATGCTGACTCTTAATAGGACTATCTTAATGGCATCTAGACATTTAAGAAAAGAAAACTAGAATTAGATGCAAAAAGCCGGGTGCAGCGGTGCACGCCTGTAGTCCCAGCTACTCGAAAGGCTGAGGCAAGGGGACTGCTTGAGCCCAGGCATTTGGGCGTTCCGTGTGAGATGATCGTGCCTGTGAATAGCCACAGCACTCCGGCAGGGGCAACGGCAGGGCACGCGGGGTCACGCTTGTAATTCCAGCACTTTGGGAGGCCAAGGTGGGAGGATGCTTGAGCCTAGAAGTTCAAGACCAGCCTGGGCAACATAGTGAGACCGCATCTCTTAAAAAACAACAACACACAAGTGTTAAGGCTGACTTGAAAGGACGAGGTTACCTCAACGAATGGGAAGGCACTCCGCAGACAAGAAACCACATGTGAAAAGGTCCACGGCAAAAGAGGCATGGGCCAGTGGAATATAACCCTAGCAGCAGGAATCTAACACAGCACTTCCTATTCTTCTCCTTGTCTTTCCTTTGTTGAATAGCGTATGCACAGCCCCAAGGTCCTGAGGCCCTCGCTGTCTTTCCATGGCTAGCAAATATGTATTTACTAAATGGGTCTGGGGGAGCAAATCATCCCTTCATTTTTTGCCCCACTATCCTAATCCATAGCAATACAAATAAGCATTATAAAAATCTTAATCTTCTTTGAGTCTTAATAGTACTATCTTAATAGCATCTAGAAATTTAAGCAGAGAAAACTAGAATTAGATACAAAAAGCTGGGTGCAGTGGTGTGCACATGTAGTCCCAGCTACTCGAAAGGCTGAGGCAAGGGGACTGCTTGAGTCTAGGAGTTTGGGGGTTCAGTGTGAGATGACCGTGCCTGTGAAAAGCCATAGCACTCCAGCATGGGCAACACAGCAAGACAAACAAGCATTTCCCGTCAAACTGGATTAACAGATCAATAACATGAAACATTCTGGGCAGAAAAGAAAGATGACACTCATAGCGAGATCAAGGTTGTCAGGAAGACCTTCCATTACAGAGAATTGAACTAGAGTCTCAAATCTTAGGCTCGGTGTAATGGCTCACAACTGTAATCCTAGCACTTTGGGAGGCCGAGGCAGGAGAATCACTTGAAGACAGGAGTTCAAGACCACCCTGAACAACACAGCATGACCCTGTCACTACAAAAATAAACTACCTGGGTGTGGTGGTGTGCACAGGTGGTCCCAGCTACAGGGAGGCTGAGGCAGGAGTGTCACTTGAGCCCAGGAGTTTGAGGCTGCAGTGAGCTATGAACATACCACGACATTCAAGCCTGGGCAACAGAGCAAGACCCTGTCTCTAAAAAAATTTCTTTTAATGTTTTAAAGTTAAAAAAAATAATTATAATACCCCTTAAATATTAAAAAAAAATCCTGTTAAAACTAATAAATTCAGCTGAGTATGGTAGCTCACACTTGTAATCCCAGCATTTTGGGAGGCCGAGGGAGGAGGATCACTTAAGCCCAGGTGTTTGAGACCAGCCTGGGCAACAAAGTGAGACACTGTCTCTATTTAAAAACAAAGGGAGGGAAAAAAAACCTGGCTGGGCGCTGTGGCTCATACCTGTAATCCCAGCACTTTGGGAGGCTGAGGCAGGCGGATCATGAGGTCACCAGTTTGAGACTAGCCTGACCAACATGGTGAAACCCCATCTGTACTAAAAATACAAAAAAAGTAGCTGGGCATGGTGGCGCGTGCCTGTAATCCCAGCTATTCAGGAGGCTGAGGCAGGAGAATCACTTAAACTGGGAGGCGGAGGTTGCAGTGAGCCGGGATTGCGCCACTGCACTCCAGCCTGGGCGACAGAGCAAGACTCCGTCTAAAAAAAACAAAACAAAACAAAAAACCTAATAAATTCAGCAAAGCTGCAGGATACAAAAATCAGTTGCATTTTTATGCACTACCAACGGACAATTCGAAAAACAATTCCATTTACAATAGCACCAAAAGTAACTTAAAAGCTAGTAATTAAAAACACAAATAAATGGAGGCCAGGCACAGTGGCTCACACCTGCAATCCCAGCACCTCAGGAGACTGAGGTAGAAGGATCACTTGAACCCAGAAGTTCAAGACCAGCCTGAGCAACGTGGTAAAACCATCTCTACAAAAAAGACAATAATCAGCCAGGCACGGGGGTGCACGCCTGTAGTCCCACCTACTGGGGAGGTTGAGGTGGAAGCATCACCTGAGCCTGGGAGGTCAAGGCTTCAGTGAGCTGTGATCCTGCCACTGCACTCCAGCCTGGGCGACAGTGAGACCCTGTGTCAAACAAAAATGAAAACAACAACAACAACAAAACCCACAAATAAATGGAAAGACATTTCATGTTCGTGGATTGGAAGATTTAATATTGAATACTGTTAAGATGCCACTACCACCCAAAGCAATCTCCAGATTCAACGCAATCCCTAGGAAAATCCTAACGCATTTTGGAGAAACAGAAAAATCCAGCCTAAAATCCATATAGAATCTCGAGGAAACTCAAATAGCCTAAACAATCATTAAAAAGAATAAATTTGGATGAATCAGCCCCTGATTTCAAAACTTACCAAGGTAACAGTAGCAACACAGTGTTGTCTTGGCCTAAGGACAAATATTTAGATCAATAGAATACAATAGAGCCCAGAAATAAACGCGTACACATATGGTCAAATCATTTCTGACACCAACGCCAAAGCCATTTAATGGCAGTAAAGAACAGTCTTTCCACAAACGGTGCTGGGAAAACTAGATCAAAGAATGAAGCTGGACACTGAAACCATAAGCAAAATTTACTGAAAATGGATCAAAGACCTAAACAAGAGCCAAAACTATAAAACTCTTAGAAGAAAACACAAGGAAACCTTCACAACACTGGATTTGGCAATGATCTATTAGCTACGACACAGGTCCCCAATCCCCGGGCCACGAACTGATACCAGTCCGTGTCCTGTTAGAAACTGGGCCACACAGCAGGAAGTGAGCGGCAGGTGAACAGGCGAGGCGTCATCCGTATTTATAGCCGCTCCCCACCGTTCACATCACCGCCTGAGCTCCACCTCCTCTCAGATCAGCAGCCGCCTTAGATTCTCATAGGAACACAATCCCTATTGCGCATGCGAAGGATCTGGGTTTTGCAAGGGCCTTATGAGAATCTAATCCCGATGATCTGTCACTATCTCCTGTCACCCGCAAGTAGGACCATCTAGTTTCAGGAAAACTAGCTCAGTGTTCCCACTGATTCTACATTATGGTGAGTTGTATAATTATTTCATTATATATTACAATGTAATAATAATAGAAATAAAGTGCACAATAAATGTGATGCACTTGAATCATCCTGAAACCATCCCCGCCGCCATCCACGTAAAAACTGTCTTCCACAAAACTGGTCCCTGGTGCCAAAGATGTTGGGGACCGCCCAGCTACGTATGATACCAAAGGCACAGGCAACAAAAGAGAAAAAAAGACAAAGTTGACTTCATCAAAATGAAAAACTTTGGGCATCAAAGGACACAATTAACAGGGTTAAAAGGCAACCCATAGAATGGGAGAAAATATTTGTAAATCATGTATGATAAGAGATTAATATCCAGAATATATAAAGAACTCTTAAAACTCAGCAACAAACAAAATAACCCATTAAAAATGGGCAAATGTCTTGAACAGACATTTCTTAAAAGATATACAGTCAGTACGTACATAAAAATATATTCAACATGACTAATTATTAGGAAAATGCAAATCAAAAGCACAATGAAATACCACTTCATACCATTAGGAGAGGTATTACCAAAAACCCAGAAAACGACTCTCAGTAATGCTGTGGAGAAATCGGAACCCTTGTGCACTGCTGGTAGGAATATCAAATGGTGCATCCACGACGGATAACAAACAGTATGGCAGTTCCTCAAAAAACTAAAAATAGACTGGGTACAGTGGCTCATGCCTGTAGTCCCAACACTTTAGGAGGCTGAGGCAGGAGGACTGCTTGAGTCCCAGAGTTGGAGGCCAGCCTGAGCAACATGGCAAGACCCTATCGCTACAAAAAGCTGGGCCTGGTGGTGTGTGGCTGCAGTCCCAGCTTGGGGGCTGAGGCGGGAAGATCGCTTGAGCCCAGGAGGTCCAGGTTGCAGAGAGCTGTGATCATGTCACTGCACTCCAGCCTGGGCAACAGGGCAAGACCCTGTCTCAAAAAACAAACAAACAATCAAACAAAAAACAAAAAACCCACAAAAAACTAAAAATAGAATTACTATATGATCCTGCAATTCTACTTCTAGCTGTACACTCAAAGGACTTGAAGAGATATTGGTAAACTCATGTTCATTGCAGCATTATTCCCAACAGCCAAAAGGTAAAAGCAACCAAATGTCATTGATACATCAACACACAAACTGTAGTATATATATACAATAGATTTTTTTTTTGAGACAAAGTCTTGCTCTGTTGCCCAGGCTGGAGTGCAGGGGCATGATCTGGGCTTATAGCAACCTCCTCCTCCCAGGTTCAAGTGATTCTCCTGTTTTAGCCTCCCAAGTAGCTGGGATTACAGGCATGCACCACCACGCCTGGCTAATTTTTGTATTTTTAGTAGAGACAGGGTTTTGCCATGTTAGCCAAACTGGTCTCGAACTCCTGACCTCAAGCGATCAGCATGCCTTGGCCTCCCAGAGTGCTGGGATTACAGGAGTGAGCCACCGTGCCCGGCCAGAATGGAATATTATTCAGCCTTAAAGAGGAATGAAATTCTGACACATGCTATAACATTGATGAACCTTGAAAACATTATGCTAAGTGAAATACGCCAGACACAAAGAAATATTGTAGAGTAAACTTACATGAGGTAAAGAGAATAGTCTAATTCATAGAGACAGAAAGTAGAATAATGATTACTAGGGGACGCAGGAAGAGGGAAACGAGAGTTTGTGTTTAATGAGTACAGAGTTTTGGTATGGGATGATGAAAAGTTTTGGAGACAGATGATGGTAATGGCTGTACAATGGGAATGCAGTTAAAACCACTCAACTGTACACTGAAAAAGCAACCTGAGCATAAGACTGCTCTGCAGAATTTAAAAACAATCTTAGACCCTCAAATGTCACGAGCCCTAAATTAAAATCGCACAGATTAAGAGTACTCAGAGAAAAATTACAGACTCAGAACAAAAAATAGGTATTTGTTAATAACATACCTGGAATTCTTTTTCACCAATAAACATATTTACTTCTATTCGTCCAAATTTATATATAGAAGTACAGGAATACAAGTCATATGCGAGTTTCCAAAGTGCCCTTTTCTCACCTCTACTTGGGAACATTCCAACTACTTTTAAAGGGATGTCTGTTAGGAATATAAGCAAAAAGATTTGAATAAAGTTCTTAGCATTTTGTCCTATGTCCATATTTTTTTGAGACAAACTAAGTTAACAAACTATATTAATTTCAAGTTTATTTCAATTAAAACTAAGCCTCAATATCTTTCCTTGGCATGAAACTTGGCTTTTGGGGAAATAAACTGGGTACCTGTGTCCAGGTGAGGTAAATGCCATATTCAGAGTCAGAGCATCTGCTCATAAACTGTATTAATATAATATAAATTATACACAAATTCGGCGGGGTACGGTGGCTCACATCTGTAATCCCAGCACTTTGGGAGGTCGAAGCGGGCAGATCACTTGAGGGCTGGAGTTTGAGACCAGCCTGGCCAACATGGTGAAACCCCGTCTCTACCAAAAATACAAAAAAATAACCAGGTGTGGTGACACACACTTGTAATCCCAGCTACTAGGGAGGCTGAAGCAGGAGAATCACATGAACCTGGAGGCAGAGGGTCAGTGAACCAGGATCGCGCCACTGCACTCCAGCCTGGGTGACAGAGTGAGACTCCATCTCAGAAAACAAACAAATAAATAAAACACAAATTTCATCAACAAATCAGTTATACTGCTAGAGACACCTGGCAAATTCTAGGTATTTGCTTTAGTAAATTCCAAAAATGACCTGCTGTCCAAGGAACTGCTTCTATTCCCAAATTCTTAAAGAGCCCTCGAGAAGACATAGCAGGTGGTTTTATTACTCCACCACTTCTAGGATCTAGTTTAAAGAAGTCACAGTGAATCACTCGTAGTTTTCCATCCAGATTTTTTCCTAAGGACTAAAGAGAGACAAAGATAACACGTTAAAAATTTTCAGCATTAAGTATACTTTGCAGCAATTCAAAAAACTCTACTTCAAAAAACCATAATAAAATGTAAAAATAAAAATAATTCAATTACCTGGGGTTTTTTTGTTTTGTTTTGTTTTGTTTTTGAGAGACAGAGTCTCGCTCTGTTGCCAGGCTGGAGTGCAGTGGCGCCATCTCGGCTCACTGCAACCTCTGCCTCCTGGGTTCAAGTGATCCTGTGCCAGCCTCCCAAGTAGCTGGGACTACAGGTGCGTGCCACCACACCCAGCCAGTTTTTTGTATTTTTAGTAGAGATGGGGTTTCACCATGTTGGCCAGGAGAGCCTCAATCTCTTGACCTCATGATACGTCCACCTTGGCCTCCCAAAGTGCTGGGATTACAGGCGTGAGCCACCACGCCCGGCTGAATTACCTTTTTACAAAAAATATTTCTACCTCCATAACTATGTAAAGAAAATATTACTAACATACCCAAAATTTAACAGAGGAAGTAAAAATCAATTAATACCTGAAAAGTGGCAAAAGTACAATATTACCAAGAAAAAGCCCCCCAAACAGAAATAAACTATCATAAATTTTTCTTTATCTGTTTACTTTTTTTTTTTTTTTGAGACAAGCTGTCAACCAGGCAGGAGTGCAGTGGCGCAATCCCAGCTGACTGCAGCCTTGACCTCCTGGGCTTAAGTGATCCTTCCACCTCAGTCCCACAAGCAGCTAGGACTACAGGTGCATACCATCACGCCCCACCAATTTTTGGATTTTTTGTAGCAACAGGGTTTTGCCATGTTGCCCAGGTTGGTCTCAAACTCCTGAGCTCAAGAGATCTGCCCACCTTGACCTCCCAAAGTGCTGGGATTACAGGTGTGAGCCACTGCACCCGGCCCCACTTACTTTCTTTATCATAATGGCTTCAGCTATTCAAAAGCTTTTCACACCACTCCCTGCCTGCTTAGTAGTGGTTACCTGAAGCACTGGGCAAAGATTCTGACACCATGGTTGGCCTCTTACAGAGAACTGTGAGCCATCTGCTTTGGTCATGGGAAGAAAAAATGAAAGATGTTTCACAGTAAAGAAAAACAATTAAAATATAAAAGTGAAAGGCAGATGGATTCAAGAGAATATCTTTCTTCTAGGGGAATCTAGTCAGCTATCCACCAAATAAATGAACTTAGCTCATCTCCATAATTTTCATTTACTTTTTCTAAAGACAGAAGCAACTATACACCTTGTTTGCTGGAAGAGGTCTAATATATCTCAGTCTTCTCACTGCTCTGATTTGCTCATCTTGCAGTAGTACTAGAGACCTTCATAGTTAGGGCAAGAATCAGTTATAGACTCCATAAACTTAATTCGAAGTTACAAAAAAAAAAATCAGTAAGAAGGCATTATGTTTTTAATGTGTACACTGATGTTTCTGTGCACAGAAAATTCTATTAATATTTATTAAGGTTGGAAATGATGTAACTTAAAGTTATTAATGCAAACACCTATTTTTTCTTAAGCATTTGTATTCAACCTATATTATCCTATTTCTAAATCTAGTAAAATACTTTTTCTTCTTATTTTTTATTGAGATGAGTCTCACTATGTCCCCAGGCTGGTCTCCAACTCCTGGCCTTAAGTGATGCTCCTGTCTCAGCCTCCTAAGTGTCTGGGATTACAGGTGTGTGATACCGTGTCCAGCTCAAAATGTAGTAAATTTTGGCCGGGTGCAGTGGCTCACACGTGTAATACCAGCACTTTGGGAGGCCAAAGAGGGCGGATCACACAAGGTCAGGAGTTTGAGATGAGCACGGCCAACATGGTGAAACCCTGTCTCTACTAAAAATACAAAAGTAAGCCAGGGGTGGTGGCACACCCCTGTAACTCCAGCTATTGGGGAGGTGAAGTGGGAGAAATCGCTTGAACCCAGGAGGCAGGGGTTGCAGAGAGCTGAGATTGCACCACTGCACTCTAGTCAGGGTGACAGAGTGAGACTCCATCTCCAAAGTAAATAAACAAACAAATCTAGTACATTTTAACAATCACTTTCAAGGGGAAGTTTTAAAAAGACTAGAGGAAGGGAAAGACTGGGGGTGGAAATCATACACATTTGGTCACATTAATTTCGAGATGCCTACTATGTGATCTAGGTAGAGGTGCCAGGTAGGAAGTTGCAGACCTGAATAAGGTGCTCAGTGGAGTGGTCCAGTCTGACGATATAAATGTGTGGGAATTTGGCTTGTTGAAGGTAATTTAAGTCAGGGGTCTACACTAGGGAGAAACAGAGGACTAGCCCTGAAGGTAGAGTATGTCCAAAGTCTAATGACAAGAAACTGAGAATACAACTAAGGAGGAAAACCAGAAGAGTGTGGTGTCATGGAAGCTAAAAGAAAGAGTACCTACCTAATGCATACGATTGTCAGTCAACACGCATGGCAAGGCTGTCTAACCTGTGGCCTGAGGGCCGCATACAGCCCAGGACGGCTTTGAATGTGGCCCAACACACATTTGTCATCTTTCTTAAAACATTATGAGATGTATGCATGGACTTTTTTTTTTTTTAAGCTCATCAGCCACTGTTCTTATTACTGTATTTTATGTATGGCCCAGACAGTTGATGTTTCAGGGTGGCCTAGGCAAACCAAAAGATTGGACACCCCTGATATAGCATTAACATAATCTTTCAAGTTATCAAAAAGGCAGTTTAATCTTTGTAATTAAGGAAAGCTAAACAGCACAGGTGTGGTGGCTCATGCTTGTAGTCCCAGGAGTTTGAGACCAGCCTGGACAACATGACAAAACCCTGTCTCTACTAATAATACAAAAAATCAGCCAGGTGTGGGGGCGTGTGCCTGTAATCCCAGTTGCTTGGGAGGCTGAGGTGGGAGAATCACCTGAGCCTGGGAAGTTGAGACTGTAGTGAGCTGTGACTGCAGCACTGCACTCCAGCCTGGGCAATGGGAGTGAGACCCTGTCTCAAAAAAGAAAAAGAAAATGTATAAACAATGAACACTTTATGGCCTCAATACACTTGTATGTTCTGAGAGGGCACCATACATTCTTGCTTTAGCACTTGTCAGTTAACACTCAACAATTCAAACATGATAATAATCAAAGCTTCAGGATAAATAATTCAATTCATACAACAGATCACATTTAAAAATTCAACTGGATTGCATTAGGATTCAAAAACAGAATGGGAAAAAACAGAGAAAAGGCAAGTAACCCTTGAGTTTTTACTAGTCATTAAGTTAGGTACTTAAGTTAGTCATTAAGTTTGTCTCATTTACTGGGTGCAGTGGGTCAAGCCTGTAATCCTAGCACTTTGGAGGCTGAGGCGGGCGGATCACGAGGTCAGGAGTTCCAGACCAGTCTGGCCAACATGGTAAAACCACGTCTCTACTAAAAATACAAAAAATTCGTCGGTCGTGGTGGCGGTCACCTGTAATCCCAGCTCTCACCACTGAAACTCCTTTCAGTTTTCAGGAACAAACTTTAGGTGGCCAGAAGCATTATCCGCTAAGCGCAGCACTTTAAGTCCCTGACTTAGAGCCACAAGAGTTCTGCTTACCTATTGTTACTTCTCTTTTCACTCTGGCAAACAGATTAATTCACACAAAATTTTATTTGAATGGCTTTTCAATTTATCATAACAATGGTTACTAAAAAGTGAGAGAATATGTACTAAGGGTTGAGTACAAGTCAGTGCTAGTAGAAAATAAGAGCCTTAATAGAGAAAAAACTAGTTCTAATCAAAGACTGGATTTAGTCAATGATGTTTATATTTTTAGCTGACATTTATAGCTTCAGAAACATTTTGTTATTGATATTCCTATCATAATTATTGTTTCAAAAATTCTCTAGTCCCTAACCTTCCTTTTTTCATTAAACAATTGTTTTAAAATTAAACTGTTATCTTGAAGGTTTTTTTTTTCTTTTGAGACTGAGTTTTGCTCCTGTAGCCCAGGCTGGAGTGTAATGGCACGATCTCGGCTCACTGCAACCTCCACCTACCGGGTTCAAGTGATTCTCCTGCCTCAGCCTCCCAAGTAACTGGGATTACAGGCATGAACCACCATGCCCAGCTAATTTTTTGTATTTTTAGTAGAGATGGGGTTTCACTATGTTGGCCAGGCTGGTCTTGAACTCCTGACCTCAAGTGACCTGCCCGCCTTGGCCTCCCAAAGTGCTGGGATTACAGGCATGGGCCTCGGTCCTCAGCCTTGAAGATCTTATAGAAAAAAGCAACTACTGTGTTACAGAATAACAAACTTTAAATAGAAACAAAGACATTTTAATACAATCTTAATTACTTTGTGAATATGTAGATTAACCTTTAAATATAGGCTTTTTTTTTTCCTCAAATCAGGATAAAAGTTATCTTCTCATTTTTAATTTCCAAGTTGAAACTACAGATGACTATGTTTACTGAATCACATTTCAGGATCTTAAATCTTCGGACAATTATGTGTTTTTTCTTCACATTTTTGGAACTCCCTCAGATTTAACATCAATTAAATAACCTAGCTAAAACCTTGAACTCTTTTCAAAACAGTAAGTGGTAGAATAACAATAATTTCATACTCATAGTTTTAAAAGAATTAAACAACTGGATTTGACAGACATTTTCACAATTTTTTGTTGTCATGCAATTTTGGATACAGCCATTCTGCATGGTTTCACAAAGTTGGCATAGAGAAATATAAGTTTCCTAAGTTGAAACGGAAGATTATAAAAGAGGGAAGGAGAATGAGAGTAAGAGACTGGTTAAAGACCCAAAGGATTTCCACTTCTTCATTGTTACGTAAATGTGTCTGCTTTTTAAGAAGCACAATCACTGAAAAATCTATTTGGATGATGCCTTCACTCTATGCAACTGTATCTGACTACAGGCTGAGCATCCTTAATCCAAAAATTCTGAAATGCTCCAAAATGTGAAACTTTTTGAGTGTCAACATGAAGCCAAAAGTGGAAAATTTGACACCCGACCTTCTGTGACAGGCTTGCAGTGAAAATGCAGGTATACAACACGAAGATGAGGTCAGTCTATAAAAATCGAAGGGAGTCATCTAAGACAAAAACCACTGTTAATAAGGCAGATGACTCCATAGGGAACTTTTTTTTTTTTTTGAGACAAAGAGTGTAGCTCAGTCGCCCAGGCTGCAGTGCAGTGGTGTGATCTCAGCTCACTGCAATCTCTGAGTCCCGGGTTCAAGCGATTCTCCTGCCTCAGCCTCCCGAGTAGCTGGGACTACAGGCATGCGCCACCACGCCCAGCTAAGTTTTGTATTTTTAGTAGAGACGGGGTTTCACCATGTTGGTCAGGATGGTCTCAATCTCTTAACCTAGTGATCCGCCCGCCTCTGCCTCCCGAAGTGCTGGGATGACAGGTGTGAGCCACCGCGCCCGGCCCACAGGAAACATTTTTAAAAGCCGGCCGGCAGAATGTCTCCTTAGCCTTGACGGACCCGCTTCCTGGTCCCTCAGCTGCTTCTGATGTTTCTTCTTAAGAAAAAATAAAATGTGGTGTACAGTAACCTTTCAATGAAAACACAGCATCCCAGGAGACTGAAAGCCTGCCGCTGTGTGTTTCCACTGTTCAACAGCTGACACAGGGATTCTGATGCTGCTGTGCTGCTTAGTTTCTCTGAACACACTTTTTTTTTTTTTTTTTACTGTACTAATGGTATGTCATTTTTTCTACTGTTAAGCACTCATGTGTGAATAAGTGTAAGAAAATGATGGCTTATCAGAAGCATATAAATTCGGAGTCAGGAGCTAGGCATGGTGGCTCACGCCTGTAATCCCAGCACTTTGGGAGGCCAAGGTGGGTGGATCACCTGAGGTCAGCAGTTCAAGACCAGCCTGGCCAACATGGTGAAACCCCGTCACTACTAAAAATACAAAAGTCAGCTGGGCATAGTGGCGGGCGCCTGTAATCCCAGCTACTTGGGAGGCTGAGGCAGGAGAATCGCTTAAACTTGGGAGGCAGTGGTTACAGTGAGCCGAGATCGCACCATTGCACTCCAGCCTGGGTGACAAGAGAGAAACTCCATCTTAAAAAAAAAAAAAAAGTCAGGGATGATGACGATGTCAAACAAGGAGATTGTTCACATGGGTGGGTGACATAGTGACACCTTTGCTTTCTGATGGTCCAATGTACACAAATTTTGTTTAATGCACAAAATTATTTAAAATATTATACAGAATTGCCTTTAGGCCTTATGAATAAGATGTATATGGAACAAAAAAGGAATTTTTAGACTCGGGTCCCATCCCCAAGATATCTCATTATGTATATGCAAATATTGCAAAATATGAAAAAATTTGAAATCCAAAACAGTTGTGTTCCCAAGCATTTCAGATAAAATACTTAATTTGTATGCCAACCTTTCTTGCCTTTCAAACCCTAAATATAGAGGTTACACAGATCCATTAACCTAATATTAGCACTTATTCCAATTAGATTCCAAGCTCACAGAAGAAAGGAGCACAGCGCAGCTTAGTAGAAATGGGGAAACAAGCCTAGGGATGCCAGTTATACGCTTTGTTCAAAGTCACCCAACTAGGCTGTAGCCGACCTAGAACTAGCAAACAAGTCTTAGAACTCCTCATGTTTCAGCCATTCAACAGCACTGAATATTAACTGTGTTCTAGTCTTTGGGAATAAACAAGATATTTCAGAGATGGCTCCCTAAAAGATATTCTATGTAAAACACTGTGTGCTTAATTCCATTTCCTTAAACCACTCACAGATAGTTGAACAAACAATAACATACGTTGAGAAACTAAAAATATACCTCCAAATGTGGAATAAAAGTTTTGTCACTTTCGAGCGCAACCACTTTGGCACCAGCTTCAAGTAATGCCTGAGTCAGGATTCCAGGACCTGGCACATTAACAGAACGAAAAGTTTATTTGTACAAGAAACATAATCTCTTTCAATACCAAACTTTCATTAGATGTTTCACACGTTATTACCTGGTTTTTAAATCTGACAGCATCCGCAAAGTAGATGTCACTCTCCTTTTTACATATAAGGAAACAGGAGATTATATATACTTATTTGACTCCAGCGTCAAAAGTGATGCAGCTTGGCTTTGAAATCATTGTCAGCGACTGCAAAACCTGCACTCTTTTTTTTTTTTTTTTGAGACGAAGTCTCACTCTGTCACCCAGGCTGGAGTGCAGTGGGGCAATCTCGGCTCACTGCAACCTCTGCCTCTTGGGTTCAAGCGATTCTCCTGCCTCAGCCTCCCGAGTAGCTGGGATTACAGGCGCCCGCCACCACGCCCGGCTAATTTTTGTATTTTAAGCAGAGACGGAGTTTCACCATGTTGGCCAGGCTGGTCTGGAACTCCTGACCTCAAGGGAACCACTCGCCTCGGCCTCTGAAAGTGCTGGATTACAGGCGTGAGCCACCGCACCAGGTCAAAACTTGCACTCTTCATCACCATGATTCACTACCTCTTAGAAGAAAAAAGTCACAGCAAAATAGATTGCCTCTAGCCTATCACTTCCTCACGGACTACACGGATGCTTTAACCATCAAAGAGATTGTCAAGCCTAAACAGAACTGACTCCCTGTGATATGAAATGGTGCTTTAAAAAACTATCATTCAAAAAGCCTATAAATCTTGTGTTCTTAGCATCCTGCTATGGTCTATAGGGAATGCACGGAAGAATAAGATAACATCATTTTTTCAGCTGGCAGAGGCTTGCAACTCTTTTGGGGAGATAAGATCTAAGAGCATGTTTTATCAAAATATTGTGTAAAGTGCAAGCTGCTACAGAAATACTTTGTGGTGTCATTAACGATACAGACTCTACGCTTATGTAGTGGGCAATCTCTCCAACTAAGGAGCTTCAAACAAAGACCCGTATCTGGACGGGCGCAGTGGCTCACGCCTCTAATCCCAGCATTTTGGGAGACCTAGGGGGGAGGATCACGAGGTCAAGAGATCGAGACCATCCTGGCCAACACGGCGAAATCCCGTCTCTAGTAAAAATAAGAAAATTAGCTGGGCGTGGTGGCGCGCGCCTGTAGTTCTTGCTACTCGGGAGGCTGAGGCAGGAGAATCGCCTGAACCCGGTACGCGGAGGTTGCAGGGAGCCGAGATCGCCCCACTGCACTCCAGCCTGGCAACACAGCGAGACTCCGTCTCAAAGCAAAAGAACAACAAAAAAGACCCCCCAGTATCTAAAATAGCACCCCGAGGAGGGTCAATACGTTTGAATAAATGATGAACATCCAAGAAAATGCAATTCAGCTGGACTCACCTGGATTGCACTCCAGCAGTAGGTGTGGAGGTCTACTTGGTTTTCCCAAATAGATTTGCGCCAGGGTCTCAGCCAATCTCCGATCGGTTACGTAACGCTTAAAGTCTAAGCTGGCCTTAGACGCCTTCCTTGGCGGATTCCTGAAATCCGGTTCGGGCCACAGCTGCGGAGAGGAGTCAGAGAGCCCACAGTGGTTCCTCGCCGGCAAATGCTTTCGCGTCGCCGCTTCAGACCCTAAAATGCAAAAGCGACCAGCGCCCGCCAAGGCGGAGAGCCTCAGCCGCCGAGGAAGCCCGACCACTGGGATCCACATGTCCTTGTCTCTCAGGCCCGCTCCAAGAATCACCTAGTGCAGCTACTACAGTGAACCCCACGCAGGGTATCCCACGTGGAACATTTTCTGGCGTCCGGGCCAGGTCAAGCGGAAGTAAACACTAGAGCCTGCGCATGCGAACAGCGGAGCCTTCCTGCTTTTCTCCCTCACTTCCGCTTCCGCCTCGGCTCAGCCGCCCGAGGATTGTGAGTGGACCGTTGAGGAGAGCGACCGACCATCCGGCTGGTGTCCGGACTCGTACTCTATGGTTGTCCGCGCTCTGCGCTTCCTCTCTAGCCGCCAGTGCTCTATGCTCCGCGGTCGCGGGCCGCCAGCCTCCAGCCGGCCAGCCGCGAGGGGTGCGCAGAGGGAGGCGGGGCGGAAAGGCGAGAGGTGTCTCCTCCACCGGAGCCAGGGGAGACCCGAGCAAGCTCCGTGACAGCACGTCGGCCGCCATGTCGCCGAGTGGGGCTGGAAACAGACCCGGCGCCCAGCGGTAGCCCTCCTTGCGCCTCCGATTCCCAGGTGAGGAGAGGAGGAGCGGGATGCAGGGGACCCGCCGGCTCGCGGCCGGGATGGAAAGCCTTTCGGAAGCCTCTCGCTCCTCCCCCTGCGCTGTCCTCCTCCAGCCGCGCAGCCTCTGCCCTCCGGGTGAGGTGTAGCCCGGTCCCCTTACCTCCTCCGCCTCTCAGGTCGCCTGTTTTCCTCTCCTTTCTCAGCTACTGTGGGTCTCCTATTGCTGCGCGTCGCGCCAATTTCTCCCTCCCTAGGGGACTAGCGCCAGAAGTCGTTCCTCACCCGGCTCCTGGAGGAGCCTGCGGCTTCCACGGTCTCCGTTCCTTTCTGTTGTGTGGCCCACAGCCCGCTCTCCCCACCCTCGTGGATGGTTTTCATTTCCCCCCCACACCTGGTCCCCCCCATCACTACCACTTTGGTTGTCAAGAACCGCGTGGTGTCTCCCTTCCATTCCTCTCTCTGGGCCAATATTTTCCTTAATTTTTTCAGTTTGTGTGTTTAAAAGACTTAAAGTTAAGATTAAAAATGAAGATGTAAAAGCTTACAATTCCTTTCTAAGCTTAAAAAGATTAAGACTTTAGGATGCTTACTGTATTCCTTATGTAAACTTAGTCAAACACATCGTACTGTGGAATGCGATTTAAAAGACCCAATTTTGAAGACTAAAAATAGGATGCTGTAATGGAAATTTTGGCAGTCTTTTTTTTTTTACCTATTGGGCAATGTTAGAAGACACGGTTCTTTGAGAGTGTTTTCCGTGTTTCAGGATCAAACTTAGAGCTTTTACCCATTATCCTTACCACCAAGGCAAGAAACGGCAGCCAATCAACTCCGTGTCTTAGAATACGTACAATCCTTTCTGCTTACTCTACTGAGAGTGTAATTGAGTTTGGCATTTAAATGCACGAGGAAAAGGTTCCTAAGGAATGTATCACCCAGCAAATAGTCTGAAGATTATACTCATCTGATGAAGCTCAAGCGGATAAAGAATTGACAACTAAATATGACCTTTTGTGTATTATAAATTTGTTAGGACATCATAGAAAATATCTCATCAACTGTTGTGCAAACTGTGGGGACTCACTCATTGGTCTTAATTTGCTTAAATTCTTTTTTCGTACAGTTTTCTCACTGACAATTTTCTAGAGGTGACTTTGCATCCTCTGAACCTCTCTCCATTACTGAGCTGCCTCCCCCTCTCCCCTTAAAAAACATTTTCATAGATTCAGAAATACACTTTTTTCCCCCTCCAGGACCTGGAGTCCTAAATATTTTTAAATCAGATAAAATAGAATTATGTCTTCATGGTTCACTCATAGAAATGTGTCGTTGAATTTCTGACTTTTTAAAAAAAACACTGTGGTGGCTGGGTATGGTAGTTCATGCCTGTAATCCCAGCACTTTGGGAGGCCAAGGTGGGAGGATCACTTGCTGCCGGGAGTTCGAAGCCAGACTGGGCAACATAGACTCTGTCTCCTTAAAAAAAAAGAAAGAAAGAAAAAGAGAAAAAGAAAAATAAACACATTGTGGTTAAAAACAAAACAGTTATTTTAAAATGCACTGTCTTATTTCATAATGTTTGTGGACCAAAGTTAGCCTACTGAGTCCTAGAAAAACTGATGTCATTTTTTATTTTGCTTTTGAGTGTTATTATTTTCTCTTGGTTTTGGGAAAGAGAATTACATTATAATATTCCCTTTTTACAGTGTTGATGGTTCACTTGTTTGTAATTGAAGGTACTTGAATAATAAGAGATTTTTGTACATCTTATTTTTTTTCTGAGGTCCCAGGTGCTGAGAATGTTGATTTCACCTTAAAGATGAACTTTATGATCAGGATTTAGACATACTTTATTAGAAAAACTTGATTAGTGTGCAGTATTTCCCATCTTTTTTCTTAAGAAGTGTGGTTTTCTATCCTATGCTGTTTTTGCCTTTTTGAAGTAATTTTGAGATGGAGTCTACTCTGTCGCCTAGGCTGGTGCCATCTCGGTTCACTGCAACCTCCGCTTTTCGGGTTCAAGCAGTTTCTCCTGCTTCAGCCTCCCGAGTAGCTGGGATTACAGGCTCCTGCTACTATGTCCAGCTAATTTTTGTATTTTTAGTAGAGACGGAGTTTCGCCATGTTGGCCAGGGTGGTCTTGACCTCAGGTGATCCTCCGACCTCCACCTCTCAAAGTGCTGGGATTACAGGCGTGAGCCACCACGCCTTTAAAATACTTTTTTTCTTGCTTTTTACATTTAAATATATTTATTTATTTGTGAAGGCGGAGTTTTGCTATGTTGCCCAGGCTGGTCTCAAATTCCTGGCCTCATGCAATCCTCCCACCTCAGCCTCCCAAAACACTGGTATTACAGGCATGAGCCACCACACCCAGCCTCTTTTGGCTTTTAAATGACAACTGTAATTGGGAAATGCCAAGTGATAGTCCTTGCTTGCTGTTAGAATTAAGGCTGTAGGTCTGTAGCAGCAGTCTTCAATAGAAATACAATGCAAGCCATATAAGTAATTTAAAATTTTCTAGTAGTGGTATTAAGAAAGTAAAAAGAAACAGGTAAAATTTTAGTAGTATATTTTATTTAATCTTATATATGTTATTTTAACATGAAATCAATTTTTAAAATGAGATATTTTACATTATTTGATACTAAATCTATAAAATCTGGTATTTTATACTTACAGCACATCTCAGTTTGGAGAAGCCACATTTCAAGTGCTCAACAGTCACATGTAGCTAAATGTTACCTTACTGAGCAGCACAAATGATAGGATGGTCACATGATTTTTAAGCTGTCTTCCTACACTGAGAGTCTGATTCTGTGGGGTAAATTAAAAACTCCTCTTCCTGAAGTACTGCGGTATTTAATTTGAGAAGTTTCTATGCAGGAAGAGAGTTCTAAGTCTCTTCCTTTTAGTGTTTTTGTTTTGTTTTGTTTGTTTTGAGACAGATTCTCATTCTATTGCCCAGGCTGGAGTGCAGTGGCAGTCCCGGAGCCCTGAACTCCTGGGATCAAATGATCCACCTCAACCTCTCAAAGTGTTGAGATTACAGGCGTAGCCACCATGCCCAGCCTCTTTCTCTTAGTGTTGACTGTGTTAACGTTGAGCCCCATGCTTGTTTAATGAGGCTCATAAGATGAATAGTGTTCAGTCATTTCCTGGCGTGTCATTGTTACTAGTTATTTACATCTGCACGTCAACAGTGTGTCAAGGCACAGTATGAGTTTCTGTCGACTAAATTGTAGGGAGAACTTGAGGACCTTCAAGAAGATTGAACTTTATTGTGAACAGGTAGAGTACCTGTTGTTGCAGAGTTATTTTCTGAGTCAGTTTCAGGTAAGGCTAAGAGTTTTATAAATGTGCTTCTTTATATCATGGTGTTTCTTACCAAGGGAAAGATCAAATCTTTGAGCAAAATTTAGAAAGGAAGAGAGTAGGTTTTATGGCTGTAGAATGCTGGGAGCCTGAGTAAAGTAAAAGATTAACTTGTGTATGGTGGTTTAGGGGAATTTAAAAGGAAAGATGGCAGTTTTTATATAAAGCAACTGACATACTGTCTCCATACGTGCTTCAAGTTGTTTTTGCAACAAGGGTGGTGATTTACGTAGAACCGTCAGTGGTTCAGAGCTGCTGTAACAAAGGTAACTCTAAAGCCAGTTAACCTCCATGGGGATCAGTCAGACCCATCATTGTTCCTGTCTTGACCTCTGTGCTCTAATAAACTTCCCTAAATACTACTTTAGCTGCTGTGTGTTATATCTACATTAATAGCTAAATTAGCCTGAAGGCCTAATTAATATTCAGTGTAATTTAATACAGGAAACATGCCCTCTTCTCAACCTTTATAGTATGAAGAAATTTTAAATTACCTGGTCAGTGAACAAACTCCCTCTGTCAAATATAGTCATGATAGACCTGGCACAATGTAGGGACTATGGGGAGTGTTAGAGGATCAAAGACAGAATTGGGGAAGGGGTATAGTTACTGGATGTTACTTGTTCTGTGAGAGATGTGTGGATGTTCTATAAGAAAATAATAATGTTTTTTGTTTGTATTTAAAACTAGATAGCTGTTTATTGGCACCCTTTTAGTTGGATAAGAGAAAATACATTGCTTGGTTTCTACAAGTGAGTCTTAGCAAATTTATTGTAGTTATTTTAGGAAGAGTAATTGATAGTGCAGTAATCTTCAGTTTTTAAAAAGCCCTGATAAGGTTTAACTGGGCTTTAAAAGCATTATATGCTTAATGAGAAATTCTAACTTAATATATGTATGTCTTGATACTGTTATGTAACCTTTCCAGTTTAGGGCCTTCAAGATTCACATGAATACAGGCTTTCCTTTATGTAGGAATCATTCTCATGGGGGAAATTATATATCCTCTCAGGGAATAATTTTGTTTTTTAAGCATTTGAAATAATTGTTTGTAATATTCGTTAAAGAACACATCATTAGCAGAATTCTGAAGTCTTATAATAGCTTGAGATTTCTTAAATTGTTTTTATCCTTTTTGAGACAGTCTTGCTCTGTCGCCCAGGGTGGAGTGCAGTGGTACGAGATCTCAGCTCACTGCAACCTCCACCTCCTGGGTTCAAGTGATTCTCCTGCCTCAGCCTCCCAAGTAGCTGAGATTACAGGCGTGTGCCACCACACCCAGCTAATTTTTTGTATTTTTAGTAGAGACAGGGTTTCACTATGTTGGCCAGGCTGGTTTCAAACTCCTGACCTCAAGTGATCCGCCCACCTCAGCCTCCCAAAGTGCTGGGATTAAAGGCGTGAGCCACTGTGCCAGGCCAAATGGTTTTTATCTTAGTTTTGAGATCCTGCTCTTTAACATTTTGGAGATGGAAACTTTTTGCCATTATACCCTCCACCCTTCCGTCTCTTAGGACTTCCTGTTTTTCATCATCATTAGCCACGTGGAAAGGAAAGACAGTGTGTGCCTATGAAAATACTGACAAATCAAGATGATTTTTCCTTTTAGATTAAGAAAAATTCTGAAACAGTAAATGGTAAATTTTGTCATATTTATTTACTTATTTTAGAGATGAGGTCTCACTATGTTGCCCAGATTAGCCTTGAACTCCTGGGCTCAAGTGATCCTCCTGCTGTAGCCTCCTGAGCTGGGGCTATAGGCATGTGCCACACTGTCTGGTTAGTCACCCTTCATTGACATTTGGGCATTTGATATTTAAATTGACAGTATCTAGGCAATTATAGAAATTAACATTATTTTGCAATTGGCATATGTATTAAATTTTCTTATGAGAATAATTGCCCTGTTTTTTTCTGGAGAGCCACTACCTGATTAAATAATCACATATTTTTTCTACCTTAGCTGCATTTTGAAAACTCAGTGAATTAGGTGACTGTGGTTTTCTAATTTGAATGAAGGTAAAGTAACCTTTAAAAATGGTTTTTGGCCAGTCACAGCCATGCCTGGGACTCACGCCTGTAGTCCTAGCTACTCTGGAGGCTGAGGTGGGAGGATCACCTAAGCACAGGAGGTCAAGGCTGCAGTGAAGCATGACTGCACCACTGTGCTCTGCACTCCAGCCTGGGTGACAGAGTAAGACCCTGTCTCAAAAATACATACATAAATGAATTAAATACTTTTTTATATTATAGATTTTGAAATAAGTTATTAAAAAATTTGGGAACTTTATAAGATCAAATGCTGCTGTCCTTGAGTATTTGATAGTATACTGCTTATATTTTGATTTTTTGTATGCATTGTCCTTGTTCATTATTTTTCTCTTCTGCAGCTTTTATTCCCAGTATACAACTAAATCTTAAAAATAATTTTTAGATGAACTGAAAAACATTGCCTAAGATTTTTCAATAAGGATTTTTGTGAAAATGTGTGTGGTTTGTTATTTAGAGATGAGATCTCACTGTTTTGCCCAGGCTAGTCCTGAACTCCTGGGCTCAAGTGATCCTCCTGCCTTGACTTCCCAAAATACTGGGATTATAGACGTGAGCCACCACTCCCAGCCAAATGTATGTTTTATTTATTGAATAATAAATAGTGGAGTTATTTATTTATGTGTGTGATATGTGGTTTTTTTAATTATTAATTTTTTAGAAAAATAGAAGCAGGGTTTCGCCATGTTGCCTAGGGTGGTCTTGAACTCCTGAGCTCGAGCAGAGTGCCTACTTCAGCCTCTCAAAGTGCTGGGATTACAGGTGTGAGTCACTGCACCAGGCCTGAGTTATTTGTTTTTACCTCATGAAACAACAACTAACATTTTAGATTTTTTTTTCCACTTGTGAAGCATGAAAAAGTTTACTTAAATTGGATCTTACAAGGATTCATGTAACCAACAGGATTTCCTCCCTCAGCGTCAACTCACATGAAAAGAGGGGTGGACGTTTGTGCAAATTATACTGGTTATGATATTGTGAAATGTAGTTTCCTGGAAAAGTCATTATTGATACCCATTTTTGGCATCTTAATTCAAATTCAGCCATCAGGCTTTATTTTAAATGATTTACACAGCAATCTCTAGATTCTTCTTGCTACAAGTATTTTAAAAATTTTGTTGTGGAGTTCTTCGGCATGCCAGTTAGAGTTATACCTGTAGCATTGGATAAGCACTGTAAAGAGCCAAAATTAGAGGTAATACCCTTGCTCTTCCCTACTTTAATCATGTAATATAGGTCTTGTGACTTGGAAGAAGATTGTCTTATTACCATTACATTTGAACTTTTGTTTTAAAATTAATCTGTTAGATCATATATTCACCAAAGCTCATCTTTTCACTAGCCAGAGAAAGCTGTATTTCAAAATAACCTAAAGTAAAATAGTATTTAATTCAAGAAGTTAGTTTTTATTATATCAGGTGGCCTCTTGGTTGGTTATAGTTTCGTGCATTCTGATGCCTGCGGGCTTTTTATCCTTCCTGTCTCCACTGCATAGCTGGGGAAAACCTAGGGATTGCCCGGTGAATGCCAACAGAGCTTTAACCTGTGTGTCCATGGCTTGCCTTCCCTGAAGCCTCAAAGAGAACAGCTGCGAGTGCAAAAACCTTATGAGCAAAATTTCTGCTCCAGGAACACTTATCTGGGCTGAGGAAACATATTCTAAGAATATCTGTTTTGTAACTAAAGCTTCCATGTACTTGTGTAACGCTTTGTGTAAAACCACGTACTTTGTATAGCCTTTGCTGGAGAGTTTCCATTTTCCTCCAGCTCTTCAGTGTAAGTGAAAAAATGTGCCCAGAATGTCTCTATAGATTATTCTGCCTTCCCTCACCTTTTAGTTTTTTCCATGGAAAGCTGACAGGTCAGAATAGGCATATTTTATTAGAAACTCGAAGTGGTGGGGGGTAGAAGTACACATCTTTGCCTCTTTTTTCCTTCTTGATTACAGAAGTAATAATGCTCCAAAGATGTTTTTTAATAAAACTGAGTCTCGCTCTGTTGCCCAGGCTGGAGTGCAGTGGCGTGATCTCAGCTCACTGCAAGCTCCACTACTCCTGGGTTCACGCCATTCTCCCGCCTCAGCCTCCGGAGTGGCTGGGACTACAGGCACCCGCCACCGCGCCCGGCTAATTTTTTGTATTTTTATTAGAGACGGGATTTCACCGTGTTAGCCAGGATGGTCTCGATCTCCTTACCTTGTGATCCGCCCGCCTCGGCCTCCCAAAGTGTTGGGATTACAGGCGTGAGCCACCGCTCCCAGCCGCTCCAAAGATTTTTTAAAAAGATAAATAAATTTTAACTTGAGGAAAACATGGTTATTCAAAAATTCGTGTTTTTTCTTTTTCTTTAAAAAAAATTTTTTTTAGAGACAGCTTGTCGCACTATCACCCAGGTTGCCATGCAGTGGCAAGATTATAGCTCCGTGCAGCCTCAAACTCCTGGACTCAAGCAATCCTCCCACTTCAGCCTCCCTAGTAGCTGGGACTGCAGGTATGCAGTCTAATTTTTTTTTTTTAACTTTTTGCAGAGATAGGGCCTCCCTGTGTTGCCCCAGCTGGTCTAGAACTCCTGGCCTCCTCCAGGAGCGATCCTCCAGCCTTGGCCTCCCAAAGCACAATACGTGTATTTTTCAGAGGGAATTCTCAACTTTCATCAGATTTTTCAAGGAATATGTTACTCAAAAAAGGACAACAACCACAGCATCAGTTTGACTTGGTTGGTTATTGCATGTCCTTCCTAAATCTCTCTTATAAGCAGCTATGGCTTTATAAGGATTCCTATGTAAAAGCATCATTTTTAGTAGTATTTTATTTAAAACAAAAATAATTTAATAGATTATGAAGGAAAGTCATAGTGAGTCAAAGAACAAATCTGAACAAATCTTCCTCAAGTATTTTATTTATTTATTTATTTATTTATTTATTTATTTATTTTTGAGACAGAGTCTCACTCTGTTGCCCAGGCTGGAGTGCAGTGGCACGATCTTGGCTCACTGCAGCCTCCACCTCCCGGGTTCAAGTGATTCTCGCCTCAGCCTCCCGAGTAGCTGGGATTACAGGCACCCGCCGCCAAGCCTGGCTAATTTTTGTATTTTCAGTAGAGACGGGGTTTCATCATGTTGGCCAGGCTGGTCTTGAACTCCTGACCTCCTGACCTTTTGTCAAGTGTTCAGACAAAAACGTGCACAAATGTTTATAACAGCATTATTCACAGGAGTCAAAAAGTAGAAACAGCCCAAATGTCCATCAACTGATGAATAGATAAATAAAAGGTGGTATATCTGTACAGTGGAAGATTCTTTGGCAATAAAAAGAAATGAAGTATCAGTATATAGTACAACATGGATACCCCTTGAAAACATGCTGAGTGAAAGAAGCTAATTGCAATAGACCGCATATTGTATAATTCCATTTACGTGAAATGTCCAGAATATGTAAATCTATAGAGACAGAAAGTACATGAGTGGTTTGAGTGATTGCCTGGGGCTGTGGTGGGGGTGCAGGAGAATGGGAAATCACTGCTAGTGGGTATGTAGGGCAGGGGGGATCTTTTCGGGGTGATAAGATGTTCTAGAATTGATTGTGTACAATTTGTGAATACTAAAAGCTATTGAATTGTGCATTTTAAGTGGGTGAATTGTATGGTATATGAATTATATGTCGATAAAGGTGTCATGAAACTCAACTAGAAAAAATACAAGTTTATCATAGAAAATATGTAAAATACAGAGAAGTGGAAGAGGAAAAAAGTAATTAGCATTTTTAAAAATTCCCTATTTTTATTTCAATGATAAAAAATAATATAAGCTTATTCAAGAACAATACTGACACTTTAAAACAACATTCTCATATAAGATTTCAGTGCTCTCTGGGCGCGGTGGCTCGCGCCTGTAACGCCTGTAATCCCAGCACTTTGGGAGGCCGAGGCGAGCAGATCACTTGAGGTCAGGAATTCAAGACCAGCCTGGCCAACATGGTGAAACCGTGTCCCTACTAAAAATGCAAAAATTAGCCAGGCATGGTGGCGGGCGCCTGTAATCCCAGATACTCTGGAGGCTGAGGCAGGAGAATTGGTTGAACCCGGGAGGTGGAGCTTGCAGTGAGCCGAAATGGCGCCATTGCACTCCAGCCTGGGCGACAGAGCCAGACTCCGTCTCAAAAAAAAAAAAAAAAAAAGAAACAAAGATTTCTCAGTAATTGGTGGTGGGAGAGTT
Source organism: Homo sapiens (assembly GCF_000001405.40). Classification (NCBI taxonomy): domain Eukaryota; kingdom Metazoa; phylum Chordata; class Mammalia; order Primates; family Hominidae; genus Homo; species Homo sapiens. Next base: position 246,576,292 of record NC_000001.11, read on the forward strand.
GGATCCTCACGTGCCTATGATAACCGTGCAGTCACAGTGTATACCGTATTCCACTAGTGAACAAAACTTTAATTTTTACAGAGCAGCATCGTGTTCAGTGACTATTATTTTAACTTTATTGATTTTTTTTGCATGTCATAATTCGTAAATTTGTTTTGGTTTAATTGTGTTAGAGTTAGAAGCACATAAAAATTATGTTTTTACATCCTTTTTTTTTTTTCTGAGATGGAGTCTCACTCTGTCACCCAGGCTGGAGTGCAGTGGTATGATCTCCACTCACTGGAACCTCTGCCTCCCAGGTTCAAGTGACTCTCCTGCCTCAGCCTCTTTAGTAGCTGGGACCGCAGGCATGTTACCACGCGCGGCACATTTTTGTATTTTTAATAGAGACGGGATTTTTCCATATTGGCCAGGTTGGTCTCTAACTCCTGACCTCAGGTGATCCACCCCCCTCAGCCTTCCAAAGTGCTGGGGTTACAGGCGTGAGCCACCGCACCCAGCCACAAATTATATTTCTTAATTCTTTTTATCCTATTACCCCTTCCCTTGGCTACCACCCCCTACCCTCCACCCACATCCACAGTGCTTTAAGATAAAGGAGATTAATTTCGCCTGTAGGAATCCATGGGAACTTGGCCTTCAGACTTCAGGCAAGCACCAGAGTGGAAACATTTGGAAGTCTCATTCTAACATGTTTTTACCTTAAAATTTTTTAAAAATTGGATTAGGTTTTTATGTTTTTAGAACCATCTTGCCCTCCCTTTTCTAGCTTTTGACGGGACATTGCCAAATTAATAGGCTGTTTTGAAGATTACTAAGATGGGCATCTTTCATTTCAGTAGGGAAAAGAACATGTGCTAAAGGAATTATTCAGGTGAAAATGCTTTTGTGATTAAAAATGTTCTTCAGAACTGATACTTCTCATGAAGTAAATTTCAACAGTACAAGCAAACCCTGTTTTCCTGTTGTTATGACTTTGTTGTTCTCACCTGTCCTCCATACCGCCCCACCACAGCGTCACTCCCTTTATAGCCTCTTCCTACTGGTACCTCCTTATTCCGGTTCTCTTTCTAGACCCTCTACTATCCTCTGTGTTTATTTTGAACTGAACTTTGGATTAAAGTACTACCTTTTTGTAGCTGTTACTCAAAGTTTGTCTTCACTTGTGCTTGGAATTTGAGGTTACTCTACTGTTGTTCAGACTTTACCTTTAAAATTCCAGGAGCATCCTGTTAGTAAAACAATGAGTTTTAAAAATTTCGGTAAAGGTGGTCATAATTCTTACAGGAACCAGTTTTATCCCATTTAGTTCACAGATTTTCATTTTGCCTTTTTAATGGGCATAGAATTCTCTTTCATGTTTTTCTGTAGCCGAGAAACCTAGTCAAGAATGTGAGGTGAACCTTTCAAGTAAAATTGTAGTTGAAGAAACAAAAGTGGAAAGGCTAGGTTAAAATAAATTTGACCCTGGCCTAATTCCATTTATCTCATACCCACTTTAGAAAAGAACTAAAACAGTCTGTGCATGGTGGCTCACACCTATCATTTCTTTGCGTTTTTACTAATTCATGCTTCTTTTTTGGACTTTGCTGACTCGTCCCTGTATTAATCTTTCACTGACAAAAATATCCTCTGTTCTCAAGTTTCCCTCTTCTGTTTCCTACCAGATAATACTTGTGGTTTTTTTGTTGTTAAGTACATTTTAAACATCATCTTTAGAGATATAACCATTTTTTTCTACATCTGTTTCCTTGGGTAAAAGGTAGTGAGAGACTTTAGTATTGTAGTTCAATTGAACAAACATTAATTAAACACCGTTCATATGCCTGGGCTATGTTTTGGTGAGGATTGTAAAAGAAGTAATGGGCACATTCTCCTGCTGCAAGCATTCAAGCACTTGAATTCCAGATGGGAAATAATATATATGCATGAAATAACTTGAGAAAAATTCTAAAACAATAAATAAGCAAATTCGAGACAGTGTCTACTAAATACCAAATAAGTTACAGTGCTTTAAAATAAGCTCTAAAATTATCGTGCTCTAAAAAATGGGTCTCTGAAAATGTTTCAGTGTGGATTCTGTATTAACCATTGCCTTCGGCTGGGCGTGGTGGCTCACGCCTGTAATCCCAGCACTTTGGGAGGCTGAGGTGGGCGGATCATGAGGTAGGAGATCGAGACCATCCTGGCTAACACGGTGAAACCCCGTCTCTACTAAACATACAAAAAATTAGCTGGGTGTGGTGGCACGTGCCTGTAGTCCCAGCTACTCGGGAGGCTGAGGCAGGAGAATTGCTTGAACCCGGGAGGCGGAGGTTGCAGTGAGCCAATATCGTGCCACTGCACTCCAGCCTAGGCAACAGAGAGACTCCGTTTCAAAAAAAAAAAAACTATTGCCTCAAATTATAATTGGCCTCTTCTAAGGCTAAATAGTATTATTACAATTTCTGTTCCTCCTTCTCCTCCTAACTTATCAAACTCTTCAACCCCAGCTCAAATTCCATCTTGCTTATGGAATCTGCCCTACATACCACAAGCAGCACAGAATCTGGAGCCAGTCTGCCTAGGTTGAGTCCTAATTCTGAGAACTGTTTGACTTTGGATGAGTTGCTTTACCTATTAGTGCTTCAAATTGCTTGTCTGTAAAATGCTAGTGCTAATAATAACTACCTAATAGGACTGTTGTGAGGAATTGTTACTATATGCATGGCAAAGCGTAAGCACTATATAAATGTGTCTTGTTATTCTCATACTCTGGTATTACGGTCACTTCTCACAATAGACTTAAACATAAACATTTCTATAAAGTGATTTATTTGAGCTTAAATATTTTTTGGAATTTTATATTTTGTATATTCTGCTCTATAATAGCTGTTTGTGTTAACATAAAATTAGCATCTCTCTTCCATCCTCACCTTTAGAAGTGAATTGATGTTACCAGAGAGTGTCCATTTATCATCCTGTGACTTTGCAGATCCCTGGTCAGCTTTTTCTCTTTCCTGTTTCTGTTAAGTATGTATTCATTCTGCCTTGTTGCCCATTAGGTTCTGCATGTGTGCTTTTCACTACCTTATTATAAGCTCTTCCTCCCAAGGAGCAATGCTGTTTCAGTGATGACAACAAATGTGATTATTGAACTCTTAGTGCTATGCATCTTGCTATCACTAGAAAATTCATGATTCACAAATAGCCAGTAGCTGGGCTAGGTGGCTCACACCTGTAATCCCAACACTTTGGGAGGCCAAAACAGGAGGATCACTTGAGCCCAGGAGTTCAAGACCAGCCCAGGAAACATGGTAAAACTCCATCTCTTCTAAAAATGCAAAAATGGTGGGCACCTGTAATTCCAGCTACTTGGGAGGCTGAGGCAGGAGAATCACTAGAACCTGGGAGGCGGAGGTTGCAGTGAGCCAAGATTGCCCCACTGCACTCCAGCCTGGGCGACAGAGTGAGACTCTGTCTCAAATAAATAAAAATAAAAATCACACAGAGTCCTCAGCAGAGTAAATAAAACAAAATTTCTAGCGGTTGACATCTGGAGACTATTTACAAGGATGTTCTTAATTTATCTTTATGGATGACTTTAGCAGTTTCCCATAAATTGTCTCATTTTATTCTTACAGCAAAGAAACAAAGGCTTATAGAGTTGAACTAATTTGACTAAGATTTCACAGCTGGCGAGTATCAGAAAACTGTATTTGCACTGAGAAGGGAATGACTCCAAAATTAGAGCTTCCTTTCTTACTGCTCTGTCTTATCTCTAGTCTTAGTTCTTGTTTTGAAAGGGAACTTCTGGTACTTACGAATGACGGGGCTTATCTTCTTGAAAGTGGTAATAAACTGTACTAAATTTCTAAGGTTAAAAAATTAAGATGTAACATTACCAGTTTTCTCTTTTATTGATGGTTTCCTTAGATTTTTTTTAAATAAATAATCTCTTGTACCTTTTTTTGAGAACTGTATGTAGATTTCATTCTGGACATATAAATATTAAGGGTTAGGTAGCATTTAAAGTATTTGTGGTCAGAAATTAAATGAATGCATGAAATACTGTACTCTTTTGAGTAAATTCTAAAAATAATCCCTAATCATTTCATTACAGACAGTTGGACATTATTTTGCCATTTACCAATATACTTTTTTTTTAATATACCTTAAAGACCAGAGAGAAAGGTAAGAACAGTTATGAAATTGCACTTCTCTGATTAGAAGACTTATTCAGGAGGACTGGAAGCAGAATTTTCAGACGTTTCTTTCTAAATGGATTCTATTAACTTCCACAGTACTTTGTTCATAGCAGACCTTCAAATATTTGGTTGGCTTCATGCAAAAAGGAGGTATCTCTTTACTCCCTTCTGTATTGCTGATGCTAATTGAATTATCTTTTAAAGATTCAGCATATTTTACGGGGATTTAATTTTGAGAACATTGGTGTCTTTCTGAAGGTTTCTTTTTTTTTCTTTTTTTTTGAGACAGTCTCACTCTGTTGCCCAGGCTAGAGTGCAGTATCATGATCTTAGCTCACTGCAACCTCTGCCCCCAGGGTTCAAGCGATTGCCCCGCCTCAGCTTCCTGAGTAACTGGGATTACAGGCGCGCGCCACCACACCCGGCTAATTTTTGTATTTTCAGTAGACGGGATTTCACCATGTTGGCCAGGCTGGTCTTGAGCTCCTGACCTCAAGTGATCCCCCCACCTTGGCTTCCCAAAGTGCTGGGATTACAGGCATGCGCCACCACGCCCAGCCTGAAGGTTTCTTTATAGCATGTAAAAAAAATGTAATTCATCGAAATATCCACTCACATCCTGATACTTCCTTGAGTAATAATCTTCTGTCTTTAGTTGCTATTTCTGTCCTGTATTTTCATTGCAATTGTATGCTTTTCTTCTTTAACCATTCCCATACATGGATATGGTAACAGCCACATTGGATGAAACTTCATCAGTGTCTCCATGCTGTATTTTTTCTACCCATACCAATCTTTTTTTTTGAGACGGAGTTTTGCTTTTGTTGCCCAGGCTGGAGTGCAATGGCGCAATCTTGGCTCACTGCAACCTGTCTCCCGGGTTCAAGCAATTCTCCTGCCTCAGCCTCCCGAGTAGCTGGAATTACAGGCATGCGCCTCCACGCCTGGCTGATTTTGTATTTTTAGTAGAGACAGGGTTTCTCCATGTTGGTCAGGCTGGTCCCGAACTCCTGAGCTCGGGTGATCCGCCCACCTTGGCCTCCCAAAGTGCTGGGATTCCAGGCGTGAGCCATCACACCCGGCCCATCCCAATCTTTTAGAAACGTAGTCTGGGTCCTTGTAAAGCACATGGTTGCTTAAAAACATTCCATTACAGCTGCAAACTCCTAATGTGTTCTAGAGGACATTGCATTTTACATTTTCCATTTCTTATAAACTTTTACAAAAGCAATATAAGTAAATAGCTGATAAAGTGTTCTTTGTGGCTTTGAAGAAACGTTAGTAGCTTAGGAGATGCCCTTTACCAGCAGCCCGTTAGTACTTGGTTTATATTATTTTTTATTCATATGTCTGAGCTGGATTCTGTAGGGAGAAATGAAAAATGTTTTATAGGCAAAATTTTATGAGATGTCTGCTAATATCATAGGCAAAAGTATTTTTGCAATATGTATTATATCTAATTAATTTAATGGTATCCAGTATAATATAATATCCTTTAACTGGGGTTTTTTTAAATAGAAGTGTCTTTTCATTACAGCTTAAAAGATGGTTGTAAACTTTCATATAAGTCAAGTACGCAGTTGTTAATAACCTTATATGTATGTACTCCTTATATTTAGCAAGATGAAATTTTTCAGATCCATATGCTAAGAGTTATCAGATTTACTGGCCCTTCACACAAATCAAAAAACGAAGTTAAACACGACTTTGCTGTTGCTGTTTTTCTTTCCTCTGCCTTCTCCCACTGTATTCTATCTCTCACCATCTGTTACTGACAGTTATCAGCATAGAGTGACCTGTACCTGGAGGTGGGTTCATAACTGTCTTTTACCTTCCACATCTACTCAGTCCTGCAAACTGTGAACTCCACCTCCATGCTTTTTTTTTTTTTTGAGGTGGAGTCCCTGTCTCCCAGCCTGGAGTGCAGTGGTGTGATCCCGGCTCCCTGCAACCTCCGCCTCCCAGGTTCAAGTGATTTTCCTGCCTCAGCCTCCCTAGTAGCTGGAATTACAGGCACGAGCCACTGAGCCTGGCCGGGCTTACGTTTTGTATCCTTCTCCCCTTTACCCCCTAGTAATTGGTTCATGGCCCACTAGGGGAAGAAAAGATGGTCTTTCACAACAGATAGTCTGAAAAGCGCTGGTCTCAATTCCTGTACTGGGCTCTGGCCCCGCCTCCGTTTATCAGGCTCGTCACTACTTTACTTCAGCACTCTTATTCCAAAGTCTAACTATTCGCTGTTCATTCTGTACTTCCTCACCTTTTTATTTGGTCCTGTTTATTTCTTCTCTTGAGATTACCTCTCCATGCACCTCAGGTACGAGTAGAATGGAGGGAACACACCATCTCAGAGCTGGGTTACAATGTCCTCTTGTCCAGTGTTATCTGCTATATCAACATTTCCTCCAGACCGTGGCTGAAGATGAACAAGGCAGCTCAGCAGATTGAAGGTGCCTGGGGCCAGCACTCATTCGCCCTGTCTGAGAAACGCAGGGACCTCCCTGACCCTGTTGTCCGCCCGTTAGCGTGATGAGCAGCTGTGGATTTCATCTGTGTTTCTTGGGCAGGGGGGCCTGTAGGTATAGAAATGGATACTACCAATTGGATTGGCTGATTTAATACCTCATGAATATCAGTACCTTCATGAGTATTTTGTGTCTCCTCTGGTCTTGTGAATATTTGGTGGTTATGAGTGCTTTCATTCCTTCCTGTGTTTACCATACAGATGCCCTGTTTACTTTCTCTGTGTCTAACTTCTCACGCTGTTTGCTCTGCACTTATTTTCATCTCTTTTATTTGTATCTTTGATTTTCTGTAATGGAATTGGATATTCTCAAATATTCACGCATTACACCTTTCCACAGTAAAAGTAACCTTCATTCCTCTGACTCTCAAAGAAATTGCCTGTCATTGATCACATTCTTCTTTGTAGCAAAGTTTTTTTGAGAGAAGAGGAATGTTAGGGCAGGGTTTATAGACATAGCGTATAATTCATTACCTGCTAGAGTATCAGCTCTTGTATTTTTATTAGCTACTTTTAGAATATATAGTCCTCAGGGCATGTTGTGTCTCATCTGTCTCTCTCTTGCCTCATTGTATTTAGTATGTGGATCTTGTTTGTTGTAGACACTCAAAATTGATTACCCTGAAGGCTGGTGAAGTTTAGTTAAAGCTCTGAGGTCAGAGTTCAGTCTCATGTGGAGACTTATTTGCTTTGTTTCATGTCCTCATAGTAACCTTGAATGCTGGCCAAGTGGCTTTTGGTTACAAAGAGCACTGGGTAAGACAAAGAATTAGCACTTGTATTGCATAAGCAGTTTAAAACCAGTGTTCCTCTGAATGTGGGGCAGGAGCATCGTGTTCCCATTCAAAGGGCAACATTATATCATAATTTTTCAAGATAAGAAAAAGTAGACAATGAGGATGGCAGAAGAAAATATATGTGAATTTGCCTGTAACTGTACTTTTTTTTTCTTTTTAAGAGGCAAGGTCTTGCTGTGTTTCCCAGGCTGGAGTGAAGGGATGGTCATAGCTCACTGCTGCCTTGAACTGCTGGGCTTTAAGCAGTCCTCCTGCCGCAGCTTCCTGAGTAGCTAGAACCACAGGCACACGCCACCAAGCTCACCTAATATTTTAGAGTGTCTGTAGAGATGGGGTCTCGCTTCAAGACCCAGGCTGGTCTTAAATCCCTGGTCTCAAGCGATCCTCGCAGAGTGCTGAGCCACCATGCCCAGCCACATATGTTGGCTTTCTTGTATAGGTATAAGAATTCAGTGATGTATCTATGTTAGAAGAATCCGAAATCGCTAAGAAATATGAAATTTCAAATTCACTTATATAAGTCAACATTTTAAGAATTAATTTTCTTTAAGTGAAGTAAACCAGGGGCAAGAGTTTCAAAAAATGCATTCAGATGTCCACATAAAGTGGGAAGAATGGCGGTGCAGTCAAGAATAAAGAGGGAGCACAAATGAAAATTGGTGTCGAGATAGACTGAAGAAACCTGGTCTTTCCATTATGATGAAAAAAATTCCAGCGTAGGTATCAGTCTTATTGATACTTTGTACTCAAGTAGAAGATTAAGGTACAGGATTCTTTTAGCCAGATTGTGGATGATCTGCATGATGAGATTGATTTGAAGACAGTGTATGAAACCAAGTCGAATGGAGACGGAGTGTGTAGTGGAACTCATCTCAGTAGACCGTCCCGGCAGCCCTGCAGTCCTCCACAGCTGCCAGGACAGTTACTGTTCAGTTTCCCACACTGGCTATTTTAAACCTTCTATATGCTCCCCAACTCCTTGCTCCCAACATACCACTCCCTCCCTGCCTCCGGTATATGGATCTCCTATGAGTCTGTTTCTGCTGTTTTTTTCCCCCAGTTTTCTTTTTTAAATCAAGACGTGATCTCTTGTATGCCTGGTTGTTTTGGATTATATACTGAATATTACATATGAAAAGTTGTGGAAATAGTTTCAGCCTTTGCTGGATTTATCTTGCAGAGAGGATTGACTTTAGTTTCTGGCAGGCAACAGGTTAGAACAGACCACCTTAATTCAACCAGAGATTAGATGATTGATTCTGCTGGGCCTTAGTCCCTGTGAGCACTGATCTATTTCAGGCTTGCCTTTTCTTCTGGGGAGTATCACTTTTAGGTCCCACCGCAAGGCCTGTGGTCCCCTCTTCTTGGAAGACCTCGAACTCTGGTTTTTCGTCCAGCTCTGTGAGCCTGCTCAACACTCTGCTCAGCTTTTCCGGCTTCCAAACTGAAGCTTTCTGCCAGCTTTTCTAGTGATCAGCAGGAGGGGTTTGTCTGAAATGAGCCAGTCTGCCCTTGCCAGAAGTACAAGCTTTCTTATGTTTGTTTTTGCACATGTTTAAAATGACAGAGCCAGGTGCTGGCTCACATCTGTAATCCCAGCACTTTGGGAGGCCGAGGCGGGCAAATCACTTGAGGTCAGGAGTTCGAGATCAGCCTGTCCAACATGGCGAAACCCTGCATGTACTAAAAATACAAAAATTAGCCAGGCGTAGTGGTGCATGCCTGTAATCCCAGCTACTCAGGTGGCTGAGGCGGCAGAATCACTTGAATCGGGAGGCAGAGGTTGCAGTGAGCCAAGATCACACCACTGCCTTCCAGCCTGGGCAACAGAGACTCTGTCTCAAAAAAAAAAAAAAAAAAAAAATATACACACACACACACACACACACACACACACACACACACACACACACTATATATGTATACAGCATAAGTGCATATGATTTATGAACAGATATACCTACAGTGGGTATACTCAACGATCAGTTTCTTTGCCTACGCTGGGCGTGGTGGCATACATCTGTAATCCTGGCACTTTGGGAGGCTGAGGTGGCAGGATCACTTGAGGCCAAGAGTTTGAGACCAGCCTGGGCAACATAGTGAGACTCTGTTTCTACAAAAAATTTAAAAATTAGCTGGATGTGATGGCACGCACCTGTAGTCCCAGCTATTTGGGAGGCTAAGGTGGGAGGATTGCTTGAGCCCAGGAGTTCAAGGCTGCAATGAGCTATGACCTTGCCACTGCACTCCAGCCTGGGGGACAAAGTGAGACCATGTCTTGGGGGAGAGGGGGAGATATATATATATATATATGTGTGTGTGTGTGTGTGTGTGTGTGTGTGTATATATTACTGATAGTATGCTTATAAGCAAAGATATATGGTATATCTTTGATATGTATCTTTATTATATAGTATATATAATATATACCTTTTATTATATCTGATATATATTATATATAAAGCTATATATCTTTGATATATTTCTATATATAAGATACATATACAAGCTCTATCTTATGTATCATCTATATCAACTTTATATGAGATAAATAAGATACATAGATATATAAAAGATCTATATCAAAGATATATCAAATATATAACATATCTTTTATATATATCTATATATGATATATATGCAAGCTATATCTTATGTATCTCATATATATCTTAGCTATATCTGAGATATATAAATAATATATAAATATATAAATATAAGTACACCACCAAAGTTTGGAGACTCTTGCATGTTAGTCCCTCTTTTTTAACGTGATGTTGGTTCAGTAAGTATCTGTGGCCTGCCTGGTAAAAATTTTTCTAAATGCACAAAGATGAATGTCAGAGATCTTACGATAATTTCTAATGGGGCGGTTATATAGCCCAACATATAAACCTGAAGAAATGGACTCATAACATTAAAGGAATGCAGCAAATAAAGAGTCTTATTGGTGGGTTTTATTTGCTGTGTAACCTATTTTTCTACATTGTACATATTTGGAAAACATCTCAAGATATTGGAAATTGTTCATTTTGTGGCCTCCTTAAAGTAGCAATTTGGTATTTACAACATATACACCTGAAAACAGCTGGTTTTTAAAAGTAATTTAAAAATGATTATAGTGGTTAAGGATACAGGCTCTGGAATCAGATTCTAAATTGAATCCTGGCTTTGCCACATAATAGCAGCGTGACTGAGGCCTATGCGTTTAATCTTTCTATTGCTGTTTACTTCTATAAAAAATGGAAATAATTTTAGAACTACTTTATAGGACTTATAAGGATTAAATTATATATATGTAATAAACTTAAAACACTGATACTTAGTAAATCTTCAATAACTGTTAAAGAGATGGAGTCTTGCTATGTTGCGCAGGCCGGTCTGGTACTCCCAGGCTGAAGCAAGCTTCTCACCTCAGCCTCTTGAGTAGCTGACACTACAGGCCACACCACTGTGCCCGACTAGTCTCAGCATTTTATTCAGATAATGCAAGCTATTTTGTCAGGCATCTTAAAAGAAGGTTCTAATAAATTATTTGCTTTTGCCATTGTATTTTCAAGAATTGACATTTTAAAACAATGTATAGTTTTATGTGTCTATTTAATGAGTAAAGTATAAGACAGTTTCCATGAGGATATATAGTTGATACAGGCAGTAAACATGATTTTTGTTTTAAAAGAGGTGGCTATAGTCTGAACCAAAGTATTTTCAAGTCTTAGATTCTGTTGGTTGTGGCTTAAAAGAATGATTGCAGTACATTTTTACAACAAAGAGGTATTTAAAACCAAATAAGCACAATTTGGATGTGTTTACTTCTCTTTTGTTTATTTAAGTAAAACTTGTGTATATCTGTGCATAAGAGAAGGAAAAGAGAAGAGAGATGACTCTTTATCTTCATACTGCTTGGGTATACCCACAATGAGGCTTTTGACCTGTCATTTCCATTTATGTAATGGATTTTGAACTCAAAAGCCCTGTAAATACATAAGCGATCTTGAACCAAGCCCCATTGTGAAAGGCAGGATTGAGGAATATGAAACAAATTATGCTTCCTTTCATTCACTTTATCTGCCCCAAGGTTTTTTTCGGAATATGAGTCACATAGTTTCAGTTAATTTCTTCATATTTTTAACAGTGCTTTCTCTTCATAACCGAAAATCTGTATTTGATGTTTTTTTCCCTTAGAATCATTATCTTCACATTTATTCTTGTTTTTCCTTTTGTGTCTTGTAACTTTGTCACATTTTTATCCTTCTTGCCTACCTTATAGCATAAATTTTCTCTTCTGTGGCCTTTCTTTTTGCTAAATGAAGAACTAAATCTTTATGAAATTATATTTTTTATTTTTATTAAAGAAATGTTAAAACAATGTGATTTACTTTTATACTGTACTATTATGTAGAAATTTAAGTATTTAGAATGATTACTGAAAGGCCGTTTTACTAGTTTTAATGACAATACTATTTAACTTTTATGAAGTGCCAGGGGTATTTGGAATATGGGGAAGTACAAAAAAAAAGGAACAGCATGATCTAGTGATTTACATTGTGAATATGGGAAATAAGGAGGTAAAAATTAATTTTAAATAGTATCTATTTCCTTCCACAAGTATTTGCATTTGTTTAATTACAGTAATAATAATATCTATATCCAGGAAATACCTATAGCATAACTTGTGTTAGCAAGGAAGAATCCAGAATGGAGTGATTCACCATGAGCCATATTTGGCTACTGTGACACTGTCAAGGCAATGTCATAGACAGCAGCATCGTCCAATAGAAATATGTGAGACATATATGTAATTTTGTGGTCTAGTAACCACATTAAAAATTTTCAAAGGGAAAATTAATTTTAGTAATAGTTTATTCAATATATCTAAAGTATTATTTCAACATACAATCAATGTGTAGAATTAATAAATTCTTTTATATTGATTTTATTCATACTAAATCATTGAAATATGGTATGTATTTTATAAATGTAGCACATCTTAATTTGGACACAATTTTCATTGGAAATGCTTGAACTATATTTCAATTTCATAAAATGTACAGGTGAAAAACATTCACATACCCAAGTTATTCCAAACATACTTGAGTTTTTCAGTAACTGAATTGATGTCCATTTAAAAATTTAAATTTATTAAAATTTATAAAAATGAAAAATTGAGTCCCTCAATGTGTGTTCATATTTCAGGTACTCAATAGCCCTGTGTGGTTAGTGGCTACCATTTTGAATAGCATAGGTATAGAATAGAGCTCACAGTTGAAGATGTCAGCTAAGAAACCCTGAATCATTATTATTATTGTTTTATTTTATTTTATTATTATTATACTTTAAGTTTTAGGGTACATGTGCACAATGTGCAGGTTTGTTACATATGTATTCATGTGCCATGTTGGTGTGCTGCACCCATTAACTCGTCATCTAGCATTAGGTATATCTCCTAATGCTATCCCTCCCCCTCCCCCCACCCCACAACAGTCCCTGATGTGTGATGTTCCCCTTCCTGTGTCCATGTGTTCTCATTGTTCAGTTCCCACCTATGAGTGAGAACATGCGGTGTTTGGTTTTTTGTCCTTGTGATAGTTTGCTGAGAATGATGGTTTCCAGCTTCATCCATGTCCCTACAAAGGACATGAACTCATCATTTTTTATGGATGCATAGTATTCCATGGTGTATATGTGCCACATTTTCTTAATCCAGTCTATCATTGTTGGACATTTGCGTTGGTTCCAAGTCTTTGCTATTGTGAATAGTGCCACAATAAACATACATATGCATGTGTCTTTATAGCAGCATGATTTATAATCCTTTGGGTGTATACCCAGTAATGGGATGGCTGGGTCAAATGATATTTCTAGTTCTAGATCCCTGAGGAATTGCCATACTGTCTTCCACAATGGTTGAACTAGTTTACAGTCCTACCAACAGTGTAAAAGTGTCCCTGTTTCTCCACATCCTCTCCAGCACCTGTTGTTTCCTGACTTTTTAATGATTGCCATTCTAACTGGTGTGAGATGGTATCTCACTGTGGTTTTGATTTGCATTTCTCTGATGGCCAGTGATGATGAGCATTTTTTCATGTGTGTTTTGGCTGCATAAATGTCTTCTTTTGAGAAGTGTCTGTTCATATCCTTCGCCCACTTTTTGATGGGGTTGTTTGTTTTTTTCTTGTAAATTTGTTTGAGTTCATTGTAGATTCTGGACATTAGCCCTTTGTCAGATGAGTAGGTTGCAAAAATTTTCTCCCATTCTGTAGTTTTAATGAACTCCTCATTAAAGAAGGAAGAGGCTTTATTCGGGCGGGAGCTTTGGCAGACTTGCATCTTAAGAGCCAAGCTCCCTGAAAAAGAAATCCTTGGCCCTTTTAAGGGCTTACAACTCTAAGGGGTCCACGTGAAAGGGTCGTGATAGATCGAGCAAGCGTGGGGAGCGTGACTGGGGGCTACATGCATCAGCTGACAGGACAGAAAGTTTCGCAGGGCTTCCTCATACGATGTCTGGAATTTACAGATAACACAAGTAGTTTAGGTCAGGGGTTAATATTATTATTATTTTTTTAACCACCAGGGCCAGGTGGTGGTGCCAGGGTCGTCTGGCTATTTATCTTACTTCTGTTTCTTTCCAACTTTTTGCTTTCTCCCTTTTCGCCTGTCTTATAAACTAGGCAAAAGTGGGAGAGAGGAGGGCAGCAGGAGAAGTGGTGGTCTCCTTCCTTAATGGTATAGGGTGAATATTTTATCTTGTACTTTTCATGGTTTTAGAGACTGTACTTTACATGTTTCTAAAGATTAAGCATTTCTACTCATTAAGTTGAAGAATCTTTAGAAGTCCTCTCACTGAGGTTTTTTTCCAGAATTACTGGATTATTTCTTTCATACCTATCATTTTTCTTAAAATGTAATACACTTGTAGATAATAAGAGGAAATAAAAGATGACTGATAAAGGGCTTGCAGTCTGTTTTGTAAATTTTAAAAATATTAGTGGTATCCTTCAAGCAGATTTAGCATTTCTTCCAATTCTACACTAAGAGTAGCCTAGAGTTAACCATGGCCTTTTTTTTTTTTTTTTTAAGTGTTCAAAAGGATTTTGATGACAACTCTAAGGTACCTTCCAGGGCTTATTTTTAGGAAATAAAAAATAAAACGATAGTATAAATATATGCTACCTAAACTTCCCCTCACATACTTTTTTCTAGGTTATTTTTTTTTAAAATCTTCAAACATTTTCATTTCCAAATATTGCTGCTGTTTAGCCAGAGAAGAACTTATACAACTAGCTTTCAGTTGTCTGCTGAGTGTCCAGGGATTAACATAAGAGACTAATTTCAGCACATAACCTATTTAACTAGTCATTTCATTCAGGCAGTGGTCCCAACCTGATGCACATTAGACTTACCTAGAGAACTTGAAAAATAGTGGTGCCTAGGTTCCATCCTCAGAGATTCTGATGTAATGGTCTAGAATAGAATTTGGGCAGCCTCTCAGGTGATCATCATGAGGAGACAGGCTTGACACCTGTAGTATTCATGTGAGAACTAGCTGAGTTTGGGGTTGGGTTGCATATGGTGAAAGGGAATGAACTTAAGTCATTTCCTTCTCTTCCCTATTTACAATGAAACAACCTAAGAGAAGGGGAAAATCAAAGATCACTGAGAATCTGCAAAGGTTAGAAAATGAAGTAGCTTTTTTCTTTTTGTCATTGTAGACATGGAAGGTCTTTAATGTAACTTTAAATGGTTCACCAAAGGATGCTCTAATGGATGACAGCGATACTCCTACATATTATCTGCAAATAGAACCACAAGATGGATGTCATCCTGGTGACAGCGTGGAAAGGAGTGTGACCTGTCTGCCTTCTGCATCAGATGAAAATGAAAATCAGCTTGACGGGGACGGGCATGAGCATCTGACCAGCAGTGACAGTGCGATGGGAAAGCCCCAAGTGTCTGAGCAGGACAGTCTCAATAATAATGAAAGCTGCACATTGAGCTGCGAGGTGGCTGCAGGTGAGAACTTGCAAAACACCCTTTGTGAAGCCTCCAGAGATGAACAGGCCTTCTTGGGAAAGGACAAAAAAATTCCTGGAAAAAGAAGTCCAAGAAGCAAAAAAGGGACTGCTAAGAAGATACCACCAGGTATTGTTTAAAATAGTATTTATCCTCTTCTTTAATTAATTAAAAATGAACCTCCTTCCCTCCCATACTGTGTTTACTGTCCTGCACCTTGCTTCTTTGCTTACGATATTCTGGAGCTAGTTCCGCCGCAGCACAAGTAGATCCAACTGCATGATATTCCAGTGTGATACGTCTCCACACTGTTCCACCGTATGGGTGTAACACAATTTATTTAATCACTTCCTTATGGCCCTTCCCAGTCTTTTACTATCATAAACAGTGCTGAGGCCGGGTACGGTGGCTCACGCCTGTAATTAGCACTTTGGGAGGCCGAGGTGGGCGGATTACCTGAGGTCGGGAGTTCAAGACCAGCCTGGCCAACATGGTGAAACGCCATCTCTACTAAAAATACAAAAAATGAGCTGGGTGCAGTGGCGTGTACCTGTAATCCCAGCTACTCTGGAGGCTGAGGCAGGAGAATCGCTTGAACCTGGGAGGCGGAGGTTGCAGTAAGCCAAGATCACGCCACTGTACTCTAGCCTGGCTACAGAGTGAGACTTCGTCTCAAAAAAAAAGAAAAGAAAAAGTGCTGAAATTGACATCCTTTGTACATGTTTTCACATTAGGTACTTTAAATATATGCAGCCTCCTCTCCCTCCTTTATAAATTAGACCATTTTCTACCAATATCAACCTTAAAAATTGCCTTCTGTCATTCCTGTGGCTTTGATCCCTAACCTGTGAGTTTAGATGCTACTGTGACCTCTTTATAGATCTTTCCATCTCACTCAGCAGGTAAATAAAATACAGGAACATATATTAATGTACAATTTAATATGTAGTGTTGAATAAGACATCTGGTTCTAATTATCTGTATCACTTTGGTTAAAAAGTAATTCAGAGTATTTCTTGTTTGGTATGCAGTTTGGCAGTTGAAGTTTAGAGCTATGGAATTTTTGGCCTGAATCACAGGGCCCCCTTGGGAAAAGGCAGCCTCTGGTTATTTTTTTTATCAGAAACATATGGGACTAGAAAGTTTTGGTATGCCCTAGACTGGATTCCTTAGTGTAGTACCACTTTTTACCCAAGCCAACAGATTTTACATCAGACTCTAGTGAACTAAGTAGAATGCCTCTTCATCTTCTGTTCTCTTCTTTGGTTAATTAGAAATATATCTGTCTATATCGTATTTTTTATTTGTATTTTTAAAATTTGAAGTAAAATACAAAACTTTTCAGTTTCTACAAAATCCATATTTATTCAATAAAGTAATTTGAAAACTTTTTAATATAATTCATAATCTGGCTTTCTGGTTAATGTAACTCATAATTTGGCTTTTCACGTCCCTGTATCTTTTTCTTAGTAGACTCAAAATAATTTTTAACCAGGGATATGAAAGCTTTTTTTTTTTTTCTTTTTTTTGAGGCGAGTCTCACTCTGTCACCCAGTATGGAGTGCAGTGGTGCAATCTCAGCTCACTGCAACCTCCGCCTCCTGGATTCAAGCAATTCTCCTTCCTCAGATGATTCTCCTGCCTCAGCCTCCTGAGTAGCTGGGATCACAGGTGTGCACCACCATGCCCAGCTAATTTTTTTTGTATTTTTAATAGAGACAAGGTTTCACCATGTTGGCCAGGCTGGTCTCAAACTCCTGACCTCGTGATCCGCCCACCTCTGCCTCCCAAAGTGCTGGGATTAAAGGCGTGAGCCACCGTGCCCAGCAAAAGCATTTCTTAAAAGATCTAATAAGCAGAGGATATTTACAGTACTATGTATATATAAATCAGTTTATTCTATAACTATCATTCAAGGGCAAATTCACCAGGCCTCTCAATCTGATTTTGTGATTTTATTTTATTTTCAAGACAGGGTTTCACTCTGTCACCCAGGCTGAAGTGCAGTGGCGTGACCATGGCTCTCTGCAGCCTTGATCTCCCAGGCACAAGCGATTCTCCCACCTCAGCCTCTGGAGTAGCTCGGACAACAGGCATGTGCTACCATGCCTGACTAATTTTTCTTTTCTTTTTATTTTTGTAGATAAAGAATCTCGCACTGTTGCCCAGGCTGATCTTGAATTTCTGGCCTCAAGCGATCCTCCTGCCTAGGCCTCCCAAAGTGTTGGGATTACAGGCATCTTGTGATGTCTTTAAGAACTGATACTTAGTTGCATACCTATGAGTCAGTCATAGCTTTAAGATTGTGAGTCCTTTTACTCCTCCCTTCCATGGTCTTTATTCCACTTTTCTTAGGTGTGATTATATTATTATTATATTTATTTTAGAGACAGGATCATGCTACCTTGCCCAGGTTAGTTTCAAACTCCTGGGTTCAAGTGATCCTTTTATCTCAGCTTCTTGAGTACCTGGGACTACAGGTATACACCAGTGGGCCCAGCTTATAATTTAAAGTTATTTAGTATTTATAATACTGTGAGAAGATATGTTTAGAATTACTATTCCCTAATGCATTTGAAACATATGATTTATAAAATCTAGGGATAGTCTTTATACAGCTTACTTTAAACATTATTTTCTATATCTTATATAAAGTGAGTTTAAGAGAGTAAGAAAGGCCAGGCGTGGTGGCTCACACCTGTAATCCCAGCACTTTGGGAGGCTGACAGGGCAGATCACTTGCGCTCAGGAGTTCGAGACCAGCCTGGCCAACATGGTGAAACCCCATCTCTAAAAAAATACAAAAATTAGCTGGGCCTGGTGGCATGCACCTGTAGTCCCAGCTACTTGGGAGGCTGAGGTGAGAGAATGGTTTGAGCCTGGGAGGCGGAGGTTGCAGTGAGCCAAGATCCTGCCACTGCACTCCAGTCTAGGCGATAGTGCCAGACCTTGTCTCAAAAGAGTAAGAAAACAGAATGAGGAGTTATAAAACCCAAGTACAAATCTTATGATTCCAGGTCACTTGGTGAGACTGAAGCAGTCTCTACCTTGTTGTTGTCGTCTGTATAATGATGATCTTCATCTACCTAAATCTATGAAATTCCTTTTTAAGCTGTGAGTTTCTTAGATTTCATAGTAGAGATGGTATACTCTATACTTGAATAAAATGTGGTGATTCACCTCTAGTGCATCTATAGAGTTTTTATATTTTACAGATACATTTTTGTTTGTCTTTTAAGTTTTGTTGATAAATTAAAAGAAAGGATACTCCTGTCTGCCCGGGCTGGCCATGGACGAGGCGGGACTGAGTGTCCTGGGGTGAGTTAGCAGGGCACAGGTGTTTGAGATGGGGGACCCTTAATTTTAAACTGAATAGGATTCTTTTGGGTGTGGAATTAATCCTTTCTAGATGTGGAAGAGACCTAGAATGGGAAGAAGCTTTAGTATTGCCTGGAAAGCTTCCCTCAGAGTTTAGTTGCTGGGACCCCACCCTAAGAACTTGCTTCAGCCTGTCGTCTCTCAGTACGTATCCATCACCCGGTCTGAGTAATGTTATCTCCCTGTGATCTCTCAAGTCAGTCTGTTTCTCTCCATCTTCACTGCCACAGTTCAGCAGCATCTTCAGCTGGAGTACTGCAAAAGCCCCCTACATTTGTTTCCCATCTTGCTTCCATCCTCCATGTCAAAAATAATGCAAAGAGTTTATGCATAGGAGTTTAGACAAGGATGTGTTTACTCTAATTTTTCGGTTAAATTCTTAGCTCCTAAGTAAATAAAGTTTCAAATTTTTCAGACGTGTACTTTTCTAATAATTGAATAGCTTCTCAAATGTGAAATGACATATAAAAAACATGATATTCAGTTGCAAACCAGAAATGCAGTTTTTTGTAGGTAGATGTTCTTGTAACACTTTTTAGAAAATGTAAAATATAAAAATAAAGAAAAAAAAGACCAAAAAAAAGAACATGTAAAATAAAGTAAATTTATTCACTCTATGCTCCCTTGTCTAGTTTAATTTGTAGTCATTTTTCAATTACTACTGTCCAAAGGCTAGTACTGGAAAAAAAATGATAGTGCAGGACTCTTGTCACTAATAGTCATGTCATTCCTAATAGTCATGTCATTAGGAGACATGTCACTGTTTATGGGTTTGCTGGAGGCAGTATTTGTGTCAATGGGTAAAACCTTGATCTTAGCCTCAGGGAAGTCCAGTTGTCATCATATAATGAGCTTTTTTTTTTCCCCCTTAAGAGAATTGAATCCCCTTGATATGCTTAACTAAGCAGGATTTCAAGCTGTGTTACAACAAGTTTTCATTATAGGGCGGGTGCACTGGCTCATGCCTATAATTGTAGCACTTTAAGAAGCCAAGGTGGAGGATTGCTTGAGCCAAGGAGTTTGTGACCAGCCTGGGCAACACAGGGAGACCTCATCTCTACAAAAAGTAAAATAATTAGCTGGGCATGGTGGCACGTGCCTGTAGTCCCAGCTACTTGGGAGGCTGAGGTGGGAGGATCACAGCAGCAGTGAGCTGCATGGTTGCACCACTGCACCCCAACTTGGAGACAGAGTGAGATCCTGTCTCAAAAAAAAAAAAAGAAAAAGAAAAAATTTTTCACTGTAGTTAAAATGGCAAAGCTTTAGGTAAATATTATCCTAAAAACTAATGACCATTACTTATTTATTATTATTTTTCACATTCTTACCTGGGGGGAGAAAAACAATGGAAATTAATGTGTTTTTTAAACAGTTTTATTAAGATGTAATTCATATACATGCAATTCACCTACTTAAAATATATAATTCACTGATTTTTGGTATACTCACAGGGATGTGTAACCATCAGCAGTCAATTTTAGTATGTTTTCTTCACCACACAAAGCAGCCACTTACATATTAGCACCCACTTCTTACTTCCACTTAGACATCCTAACCTGAGGCAGCCATTAATCTACTTACTTTTTCTACAGATTTGTCTACTCTGAACATTGCATATTAGTGGAATCATACAATAGAAGGTCTTTGACTGGCTTCTTTCATTTAACATGTTTTCATGGTTGACCCATTTTGTAGCATATATCAGTACTTTGTTCCTTTTTGTGGTCAGATAATATTCTGTTGCATGGATAGACCGTATTTCATTTATACATCAGCTGAGGGATGTTTGGGTTCTTTCCACTTTTTGACTATTCTATGGACATTGCTGTACAAGTTTTTGTAGAGACATGTGTTTTCATTTCTCTTCGTTATATATCTCTAGGAGTGGAATTGCTGGATCATATGGTAACTTTATGCCAAACAGTTTTCCAAAGCAACTGCACCATTTTACAGTCCTGCCAGCACTGTATGAGGGTTACAGTTTCTCTCCATCTTCACCAACACCTGTTAATATCTGACTATTTGATTATCTCCATGTAGTTTTAAAAAACTTGTAATTCGTATACCATAAAATTCACCTTTTTAAAGGGTACAATTTAGTGGTTTTAGTATATTCACAAAGTTGTACAATTTAATTCCAGAACATTTTATCCTCCAGGAAGAAATCACGTACCCATTAGCAGTCACTCCTCATTCTTCCCTTCCCCAAGCGGTGGCTACCACTGTCCCATAAAGTTTGTATATTTGTATGAGACAAGTTTAGATGATGTGTTTTATGGTTGTCGTAACAACACTAGATATTTACTCAGCGCTAGTCACCATAGTATCAAAGCATTTAACAAAACAGTTCAGCAAATGGCGGGAAGCCAGAAATAGGCAGCACATGGAAACTGGGAAGGGAAGACCTTTCTCAATTGACCTGCCACTATCAGTGCCCTGACTTGTTTCTCTGGAGGCCTTCACAGTGTGGCCAGCTGAAGGATGACAAGGAGGCTAGAACCTTAAAAAGCCTGAGTCAGGCTGGTGTAGTGAGAACAAAGACTTTGGATTTGAATCTTGGTTATTTGAGTCTCGGTTCTGCCTGTTCTTACCTATATGATCTTAGAAAAGGAGCTCATTTCCCTGAACCCCTTTTCTCATCTGTAAGGAAGGCTGATCCTACATGTCTTGCAGGATTGTCCTTAGAATGAATGACTCTGTATGTAAAGCACTTTGTAAAGTACCCAGCATAAAACAGCTTCTTCTAAATGGTAGTTGTTGTGTTTATGTGTGTCACAAGATGGTATTTATTTATTTATTTATTTATTTAAGACAGGATTTTGTTCTGTCACCTAGGCTGGAGTGCAGTGGCGTGCTCGTGGCTCAAAAACATCCTCAAGTTCCCAGGCTCAGGTGATTCTCTCACCTCAGCCTCCCAAGTAGCTGGGACTACAAGCGCATGCCGCTGCGCTCAGCTGAATTTTTTTTTTTTTTTTGTAGTGGCGGGTTTTTGTCATGTTGCCCAGGCTGGTCCTGAATTCCTAGGCTCAAGCCATCCACCAGCTTTGGCCCCCTAAAGTGCTAGGATTAGAGGCAGGAGCCACTGCACCAGCTACACAAGATGATTTCTGAGTGGCGTGACTGGGAGTACCATTAAGCAAAATTAAGAAATTAATTTGATTTGACTTTAAGTCCATTTTACTTCTTTTGTCAGTACTTTTTTTTATTTCCTAGGAACTTTTTAATACTGTCTCTTTTCAGATGTACCTGTCCCTGCCCCATTCCCCTAATGTACATTCCTAAAAATATATTTCCAGTTCCATACTAGTTTAATGTCAGATGCAACCTGCTTTTTGGGATGTTAACTGATATCAAAAGTAATAACTAGTAATGCCATAAAATATGAATCCCCAAAGGCCTATTTGCATTTTTATATATTGACTTCGGCTATAGTAGAACATTGATAGCTGGCCTCTAAATCAGCTTTATGGAGACAATTGGGTAATATCTGTACTGGCCAGAGTTGAGATCCCTGAGATTGGTGGGGACTGTGGTGAACAGGAGTCTACATCATGCCCTGCCTAAGTGCATTCAAATTTTTAAAATGTAAATGCCTGGCTAAGCCCCTGTAAGCAGAATGATAGGGACTGGGGTTGATGTTTTGTGATTGTAACCCATTCTACTCACTAGGTAGATAGACGGACAGTTTAACTCCCTTAGGAGTACATACCACACTTTCAGAATTCAGAAGTCCTGGTTTACCTTATTTCTGCTCCTAGTAGATGTTCCACCTCTTTTAAGTTAACATTTCTTTGGACAATGACATGCAGAAACAGTAGCCTCTCATTTTACTCTTCCTTCTTTAAGGGATTGATCAATGAAGGCAGGCCATGTCTTTTCTGAAGGTCAGCTAGTAAGAATAGAATAAAGAGTTCCTGATTTATATAGAGTCAAATAATTTCACAGTCAGAAGAGACTTCAAGGTCACTAGCCAAAACTGTCTTAGGAAAAAAAAAAAAAAGCCCCAATATTAAAAGTGTGTTAGTTTTCTATTGCTACTGGAACAAGTTATCACAAATTTACAAATCTAGTGGCTTTAAACACACGACAACACAAATTTATTATCTTACAGTTCTGTAGATGAAGAATCTGACATGGTTCCTACTGGGCTAACATCAAGGTGTTAGCAGGGCTGTGTCCCTTTCTGGATGCTCCCTGGGAGAATCTGTTTCCTTGCCTTTTCCGGATTCTAGAGGCTTCCCACATTCCCCAGCTTCTGTTACCCTTCCTCCATCTTCAAGGCCAGCAGTGGCTTTGAAGTGAGCTCAAGTCCTCACATTGCATCACTTTGACCAGCTGACACTTCTGCCTCTCTCTTCCACGTTTAAGGTCCCTTGTGATTACACTGGGTCCACCCATATATTGCAGGATAATCTCCCTTTTTAAAGATCAGCTGGGCTGGGCGCAATGGCTCACACCTGTAATCCCAACACTTTGGGAGGCTAAAGCGAGCAGCATATTTATAAGTTCTGGGTATGGGGACATGGGCATCTTTGGGAGCTGTTATTCTGCCTACCACAAAAAGATTTTAATATAGACTAGATGATAACTTTACATAACAGAATAATTCTTCACTTTATAAAAGTTTTTCTGACATTATTTTGTAGACCCGTACAGGATTACATAGTCAATAGATATTTATTGAGCATTGTTGCTGGGCACTATAAAACTGCTGGTGCACCTCCCTTTCAGTTTTGTATGCTCAAGTGAGGGAGCCACGTAACTAACAAGTGCAGTCTAGCAAGACGGGAGTCATAAGTAAGCACATGGTCGTGGAGGTAACCTGTCCTGGAGAGTTAGAGAAGGTTGTCAGGAGGAGTTGGTATCTAAGCTGAGTTAGGACAAATAGGTGCTAGTGAAGTAAAAGCAATGCGGACAAAGAGGAGAGGAAGGACGTCAGAGATGGCAGGCGTACCATGGGCTAGAGCTCACAAGACAAGAAGAGAGCATCCTACATTTCAGTATCTGCTAATATTCCTGCTTGAGCAGAATAAAAGAAAAGAGTGAATCAAGGGGAAATAGTAGAGAGTAGAGCAGTAGAGAGATGGAGGCTTAGAAGATTAGCAAAGTCCAGCTTATAAATTGTTTTTAACATGACCAGTTTGGGCCTTAACAACAGGTTTGAATAAGGGAATTGCATTTTTTAGAAGATTCCTCAGTCTGCAGTGTGGAGAATTGGTTGGAGCAATGGAAGATTAGAAGTAATACAGAGTTAAGGGGTTTTACAGTAACATCTGCCAGAGATGCTGGTGATCTGTAATGAGAGAGTAGCTGTACGGCTGGAGAGAAGTAAGTGAATTCAGAGTTACTAAGGAGGTGGAATTAACAGGACTGGATCATTAATTAGATATGAAAAAAAGAGTCCAGGATAATCTAATTCTCAGTTATCTGGTTTAAGCACCAGGATGCTTGATAATGCCATTTATTGATTTATTGAGCATAGGAATACAGGGAGAGAAAGAGCAAGTTTGGAGAGAAGAGAGTAGAAGACAGTGTTGTGCTTTTGGGTCAGGTGTCTGGGGTGTCGTAGACGTCTGAGTAGACCTGTTAAACAGGCTTCTGGTCTTGGCTAGAGATACAGATTTGGGAGAGTTGCTAGAGAGGGCCTTAAAAGTGACCTAGTCTAACTTCTTAGATTTTACATGTGAGGAAGTTAAAGATTTAATTGAGAGAATACATTGTTCATTTTTGCAGGAGACAGAATAAGAATTAGGATGTGAATCTAGGGCTCCTAATGAGCTAGAATGTGTTTTCTATGCATCAGAGGCCTACTTCTCCCACCAAACAATGAGACGCCAGGCATGGTGGCTCACACCTGTAATCCCAGCACTTTGGGAGGCCGAGGCAGGAGGACTGCTTGAGTCAAGGGGTTTCAAGACCAGCCTGGGCAACACAGTAGGACCTGGTCTTTTCAAAAAATAAAAAAAATAGCAGGCGTGGTGGCATACATCTGTAGTCCCAGCTACTCAGGAGACTGAGGCAGGAGGATCACTTGAGCCTGGGAGGTCAAGGCTGCAGTGAGCCATGATCACGCCACTGCACTCCATCCTGTGACAGAATGAGACTCTTGTCTCAAAAAATTAAAAAACAAAACAATACAAAACAATGAGGTTCTGTTGGTAGGGTAAAAATGATGATGAGCCACCAACTGTTAGTGATTTTTTCTATTGTAGAAATATTTGCCAAGCATTAGGAATACAGTAAGGACAAAGCAGATCTTGTGCTTACCCTCCTAGACCCCTGGTGGAGTCCAGTGGGAAGGCAGGTATTAAATAAAATTAATGGCCTGGCACGGTGGCTCACACCTGTAATCCCAGCACTTTGGGAGGCTGAGGCGGGTGAATCACCTGAGGTCAGGAGTTGGAGACCGGCCTGACCAACATGGAGAAACCCCATCTCTACTAAAAATGCAAAATTAGCTGGGCGTGGTGGCACATGCCTGTAATTCCAGCTACTCAGGAGGCTGAGGCGGGAGAAACACTTCAACCTGGGAGGCGGAGGTTGCAGTGAGCCGAGATCATGCCATTGCATTCTAGCCTGGGCAACAAGAGCGAAACTCAGTCTCAAAAATAAAATAAAATAATAAATAAATAAATAAAATTATTGCAAGGGTGTATAGTCTGCTTCTAGAACTGACACACATTCACTGTGTGTGTGTGGAATGGAATGGAGAGAGCAGTTTGGAAGATGGTAGGAGATGAGTTTTGAAGTATTACCTCTTGGATATTCTGAATGCTAATGAGAGAAAACCCTTTAGTGGAAAGCTTAGTTAAGGGTTGATAGTTGGGAGTAACACACCACCTACTTATAAGAGGACCCTAAACTGATGGTTAGAATGATAGAAATGCATTCCCTGCTGTTATCTAGCTCTTTCCAACAGACTGCACCATTTCCAGGAGTGTTGGGAAAGGTGTTTGTTACAATTGAAAGTACAAACGTCAGAGGAAGGGATCAACAAAATATAATAAAAAAGCAGAAAATTGAAGAATTGTGCATGGTCTGTGCATTAGCTATCTCTTGCAGCGTAACAAAACTTAGCAGCTGAAAACAGCAAACATGTATCATCTCGTGGTTTTTGTGGGTCAGAATCTGTGTGTGGCTTAGCTTGGAGCTTCTGACTTAAGTCTCTTATGAGGTTGCAGTCAAGGGTTGGCCAGGGCTATAGTCATCTCAAGGTTTGATAGAGGTTGGATAATCTGCTTCCAAGGTCACATGGTTCTTGGCAGGCTTCAGACCCTCGCCACATGGCCCACTCCACAGGGCTGCCTTACACCATGACAGCTGGCTTCCTCCAGGGCTAGCAGTCAAAGAGAGAGAGCACTCAACCTGGAAGTCATACTTTTTTAATGACCTAATTTTGGAAGTGATATTCCATCACTTCTGCATATTCCTTTCATTAGAAGCAGGTTACTGGGTCCAACTTGTACTTATGGGAGGAGGTTGTAAAAGGGCACAAATACCAAGAGGCAGGAATCACGGGGGCCCATCTTAAAGGATGCCAGGAGAAAGTCGGTGCCTCAGATTGTGGCAAGGACCCCGTGAGAATGTAATGGCAATTCTATTCACAGTTCCTTTTTTCCCTCTGAACACCTTTCCTGAGATTGCAGGTGGAACCCAGGATATATGATGGTACAGACAGCCCAGTTAGATAGTTTTCTTTTTGTCTAGTTTTTTTTTTTTATGATTTCAGTCGTGCTGTTAAAATGCAGTATCTATGCAGAGAGAAGGTGAAAAAGAAAAGAATTACAATCAATCAAACCTTTCAAATTCTGTCCCAAAAAACAGCATTCTCCAAGTCTCAGTAATGAGTTAGGTATTTTTTAAGTAATGTGATATTTTATGTGAAGAAAAATTAAGAAATCAAAACTAAGAAATTAAGAGATTTACCTCCAGATGCATGGGAATATTTATGCAGTTACATACATATTAACCTAGATGAATGAAGACTTTTTAAAAGTTTTTAGATATAAGCATATAGGCTATATTTTAAAATACGGTATTTTATTACTGATTTTATAGGACTCAGATTAGTGGAAGCTTAGGTGGGAGTTTAGGGACTCTTGGCTTCTCAGTTCTTTACTGTGAAAGTCAAACTTTCCAATATTTAATCGTTTTCTAAATAGTCACCTTTTGCTTTTCTGTTTACTCCTTTTGTTTTTACTGGATCACGATCTCTACAAAGAGTGACTGTTTTGTCTTCATTTGTTTAAAATAATGGTTTCTAGGCATCACTGATAGGGTGAGAACTACAATTAAGAGTTTTTTGTTGTCTTGTTTTTTTAAACAAAGTTATATGCGCCTGCCGCTTAGTTTGTAAAAGGCACACAAGTGAACATTTGGAAATGTAGTCACACAAATGAAAAGCAGGTAGAGGTTATATGCATGCTATTTAGCAATGAAAATAAATAAAATCCTAATACATGGTGTAACATGGATGAATCTTGAAAAGGTGCTAAGTGAAAGAGGACATATGTGTGAAATGTCCAGAATAGGCAAATCTATATGGACAGCAAGTAGATGAGTTGGCTGCCTAGAGCTAGGGAGGCAGTAGGGGGATGGGGTGACAGCTAAAGGATGTGGGATTTCTCTTTGGGGTAATAAACGTTCCAAAATGTAACATGGTGATGGTTGTACAACACAGTATACTGAAGTAAAGCCACTGAATTATGTGTTATGAGAATTATATCTCAGTAAAGCCGTTAAAAGAAAAAAAGGCTGGACGTGGTGGCTCACACTGTAATCCCACCACTTTGGGAGGCCTAGGCGGGTGGATCACCTGAGGTCAGGAGTTTGAGACCAGCCTGGCCAACTGGCCAACACGGTGAAACCCCATCTCTACTAAAACTACAAAAACTAGCCGGGGGTGGTGGCGCGTGCCTGTACCATTATAGGCATGAGCCACCCTGCCCGGCTACTGGAGAGACTGAGGCAGGAGAATTGCTTGAACCCGGGTGGCAGAGGCTGCAGTGAGCCGATATCGCGCCATTGCACTCCAGCCTGGGCGAAGACGCAAGACTCCATCTCAAAAAAAAGAAAAAAAAAAGGGGCTTGGTGATAGTTGGTTTGATGATATGAAGAAACGGTGTAGTTATTTGTCTCCACAAAATTTAAAAACTACTAGTGTAATGGAAATTGATGTAACAATTTTCTGTAAACTATAATAAAATGCCATTAAATGTGTTTCTCTGTGCGTTTGTTTTGATCTATTGAAAGTTCAGGGTTAACCCCTGGGCTTCTAATGCTTCCGTTCTTATATGATTTCATTAATTGCAAAGAGAATCTCTGATGTTAGTAGCTTTTAGAGAATTATGGAATATTAAAGAAGGGGGGCTTTTAAGGAAAATTTCACTGTTTGGTTTGCTTTGGCTATTAGGCTCTCCCCCTTCTCCCACAAATATATATATTTTCAGGAGACGGAATATATATATATAATACTTATATTTATTGTTATTATTTTGAGTTGCACTCTTGCTGTATTGCTCATGCTGGAGTGCAATGGCGTGATCTCCGCCCACTGCAACCTCTGCCTTCTGGGTTCAAGCGATTCTCTTGCCTCAGCCTCCCAAGTAGCTGGGATTACAGGCATGCACCACCATGCCTGGCTAATTTTTGGATTTTTAGTAGAGATGGGGTTTTACCATATTGGCCAGGCTGGTCTCAGACTCCTGACCTCATGATTCGCCTGCCTCGGCCTCCCAGAGTGCTGGGATTACAGGCGTGAGCCACCGCACATGCACCATTATTTTTGTTTTGAATTTAAATACATGCCTTTATATTTGTTAGAGAAACAAAATATGTTTATTTTCAGACATACGAGAAAATCATATACTTGTAAGAAAATCATATACTTTCTTATAAGGTCATGTAAATTTTGAGAATTCTGATAGTTGATGAATTCAGTGTGCTTGGAATGAACAGGGAAAATATGGTAAAATTTAGCCATTTTGATATTAGCAAAGTCAGTGTACTTCCAATGGATAAACAATGAATTTAATCGGATTTGAAAAATCCAAAATATGGTGCTTGAGTTGTTTGTGGACCTGGATAAGTAGTTTTAAGAATTTGGCTAGGCACGGTGACTCACACTTATAATCCCAGCATTTTGGGAGGCCAAAGCAAGGGAGTCGCTTGAGTCCATGAGTTAAAGAACAGCCTGGGCCGGGCGCGGTGGCTCACGCCTGCAAGGCTCTAATATCAGTTGGAACCCCGGGAGCGCGCCAACAGACAGCACAAGGCGGTGTGGAGCATCACGCTGTTTTAATGCGCGCCTGGGTGCAGACGGGCTGAGGCCTAAAATGGCGTCAGCGCCACATGAGGACGGGGCAGGGGTTTTACAGTCTCCTGTAAACAGGAAGTGTCCCTGTCTGATGTAACGGCTACGTGGTACCTGGATGGCCTCTCTGTCTATCCTCGGTGGTGGGTGTCTTCCGGCCGGGGTGCGTGTCTTCCGGCCGGGGTAGGTGTCTTCCGGCCGGGGTAGGTGTCTTCCGGCCGGGGTAGGTGTCTTCCGGCCGGGGTGCGTGTCTTCCGGCCGGGGTAGGTGTCTTCCGGCCGGGGTAGGTGTCTTCCGGCCGGGGTGCGTGTCTTCCAGCCGGGGTAGGTGTCTTCCGGCCGGGGTGCGTGTCTTCCGGCCGGCCCTCTTCCTGCTTCTGCTTCTCGCTGACGCGCGCTGCTGGTGCAAGCGGCCTTGCGCCTTGGGACTGGGTCTGAGGAGGGAGGAGTTATTCATCCCCCCAAGCTTTCGGCCCCGGGGAGAATCTTTCATTCCTGTCTATTTGGTTATAGAAAAAGGGAAAAGGGGCGACTTTCTCCATAACTACTTCAGGTGTGACATAGGGGGTGGCGTGGGCACCTCGGAAAAAAAGAAAAAATTTTGGCGTATTCTTGAGAGACGGGTTGGTATCCATCGTGTCGTTGTAGCAGGAGCATCGTCTGGATTGTCTGGCGGTTAACTGTAGTTTCAACAAGAGTTTTAATGGCTTTTATTATCAGTGGGATACCACAGGGGAGAAACAGGAGGACCCCAATGATGAAGATTACTGTCCCTACCAGCGTTTTAAATCCCCCTAAATTAGAGAACCACCCTCCTAGAAGGTTTGTTGGGTCCCATCCCTTCCAGGTTTGGACTGGTACACGGGCTACTTTTCTGATGTTTGAAGCGATTTCTAGAACCGCTTTTCCATTATCATCTATGTTAAGACAGCAATTGGACATGTTAAACTTAGCACAGACCGCACCCTCTTCTGTTAATAAGTAGTCTAGAGCCAGCCTGTTTTGATAAATTGCTGGGTGCGTTTGGTTTTGTTGTCACACGAGCATTTCCAGGGCTGAGGCGGTTTGGTTAGTGATTATCTCTAGAGCAGCCTGTAGTCTAATTATTCTATTTAGGATATATGTGGGAGTGCGATAACCCCGTGAACCATCCTCAGCCCAGGTGGCAGGACCGTAATATTCGATGATCCATTGCGGAGGCCACTCGTCCTCTCACGGTCTTTGGCTTCCTCCTGCCTTTAAGGACCGTTTTTCTCTGGTTATCATACGCAGGGACTCCGAGGGTGTTGCCCGCCTGCTTTGGAAGTAAGATGAATCCAGGTTGAATTGTGCGTAGGAAGCTAGTGCTAAGGTAGCCGTGAGCAAGCCTGGGTTCCCCATATCCAAAGGAATCCATCGGGGCAGTCCGTCGTCAGCTGGTGTTCCTAGGATTGTCGCATAGTGCACTTAGGCAGGCGTATGTGGCAGAAGAGTTAGTGGTGTTTGTACAGTTCCAGGCCTTTTTTGACAAGACACAATTGAGGTAGCTGAAGTTAGAGGGAGACCAGGCTCCGGGGGGTAACCTTGGCCACCACTCGGCTGTGGAGGCGTTGACTGTTAGGGTTTGGTGACGGGCTTTCACCTGCGGCACGATGGGTTTTATCAGTCCACTTGCGGGATATGCACGCCGTCCCTCTTACTGGGTTGGTAAGTGTCCAGGTCGACGGGCGTTCCTGAGAATTCAAAGTGAGGCTGGGGTTTTGAAATGCTAGTAATTAAGGGGGAAGGTCTATCCCATGCCACGGCCACTGTTCACTCCTGCGGGCTCCCCCGCATACCCAGCAATTGGACACATTCGTGGTAAGCGCGATGCCCTCTCCTAGATCTACAAACCGGTTTTTTCCTGGCTAGGGAGGGGATACGTCTGCTTATGGTTTTTGTATAAAGGGATGGAAGTACCACGGGTGATTTTCGGGGGAGTTAACCCCGGGAGCGCGCCAACAGACAGCACAAGGCAGTGTGGAGCCTCACGCTGTTTAAAGAGCGCCTGGGTGCAGACGGGCTGAGGCCTGAGATGGCGTCAGCCCCACGTGAGGACCGGGCAGGGGTTTTACAGTCTCCTGTAAACAGGAAGTGTCCCTGTCTGACGTCACTGCTACGTGGTACCCGGATGGCCTCTCTCTCGATCCTCAGGAGTAATGTCTTCCGGCCAGCCCTCTTCCTGCTTCGGCTACCTTGGTGACACATGCTGCTGGCGCAAGTGTGCTTTGGGACTGGGCCTGAGAAGGGAGGAGTTATTCATCCCCCCAAGCTTTCAGGCCCCGGGGAGAATCTTTCAACGCTTACAATCCCAGCACTTTGGGAGACAGAGGTGGGCGGATCACGAGGCCAAGAGATCGCGACCATCCAGACCAACATGGTGAAACCCCATCTCTACTGAAAATACAAAAATTAGCCGGGCATGGTGTCACCCGCCTGTAGTCCCAGCTGCTCGGGAGGCTGAGGCAGGAGAATCCCTTGAACCGGGGAGGTGAACATTGCAGTGAGCCGAGATTGCACCACTGCACTCCAGCCCGGCAACAGAGCAAGACTCCGTCTCAAAAAACAAAACAACAAGAAAACAGAACAAAACAAAACAAAAACCAGCCTGGAAAACATAGAGAACCTGTCTCTACAAAAAAAACAAATAAATAAATAATAAATAAATAATTTAAATTAGCTGGGCATGGTGGCATGTGCCTGAGGTCCCATTGACTCAAGAGGCTGAGGTAGGAGGATCATCACTAGACCCCATGAGTTCGAGTTTGTATGATCCTGCCACTGTACTGTAGCCTGGGCAACAGAGACCCTGTCTTTAACGTTTTTTTAAAAAAGAAGAGGTTTAAGAATTAGCATCACAAATTGCATGCTTGGGCAAATGTCTTACACAGTTTTAGTTTTTAATAAAACGTGTTAAAGTGTAAAATGTCTAATCAAACTTCTGAGAGGAAAAGTAGAGAATCCAAACATTAATGCTTATTGACATGTTCTACATAATTTAGATGCTAAATCCCAGAAATATTTATGTGTACTGATTGTGCCTTGATTAGAAAGCCTGAAGCAGGCTCTAGACAGTGGTGGAGCTTGCGGGAGTCACATAAATGCTGTGTGATCAACAGGATTTAAGCCCGTGGGTTACCTGCTTTTACAACCTAAGCACCAAGGGATGGGGAGCCTTGGCCGTTAGCAGCCTAAGGGAGCTCTTGTTCCCACGCATTTTTCAAATTCCACTGGAGTTTCATGAGGTTCGTTTTAAGACTGCCACCTGAAATCAAGTCCAGTGGCTGTTCCTGTCTTCCCGTCCCTGTATTGACATTAAAACCACTTAGTCAACACTCAAGTGCAAGAATAGTGTCGCCATGTTGTATGCCTAGTAAATTCTGGATGTACGTTGTACGTCACCTTATTTAACCTTTTGCCATTAGTTTACAAGAAGACGGGTTGAGCGAGTCAGGTTGCTTACTTTAGGTTAACAGGGCAGCTGGACTCCAGCCTAAGCTCTTCAGTGAAGCCCTGCATCACTCCCTCTGCAGGCAGAGGGTGCAACCCGGGGGTGTGGGAGGGAGCATGGCACACTCAGCACGTGGTAATTATGTCATAATCACATAATACATTCTTTTGGCCCGAGGTCAGGTCAGAAGGAAGTTGACTAATTTCCAGATTTATTTCAGTCATAATACCCGTGTCTAGTGTTGAGGAAAAGGAAGGGATGTTTCCTGTTTGCTGCTTCGGTATGGTTAGCCAATGACTGGAGGTATTTAAAAGGTGAGCACTGGCCAGGCACGGCAGCTCACGCCTTTAATGCCAGCACTTTGAGAGGCTGAGGCAGGCGGATCACCTGAGGCCATGAGTTTGAGACCAGCCTGGCCAACATGGCAAAACCCCGTCTCTACTAAAACTACAAAAAATTATATGGGCATGGTGGTGGGCGCCTGTAATCCCAGCTACTTGGGAGGCTGAAGCAGGAGAATTGCTTGAACCTGGGAGGCAGAGGCTGCAGTGAGCCGAGATCATGCCATGGCACTCCAGCCTGGGCAACAAGAACGGAACTCTGTCTCAAAGAAAAAAAAGTGAGCATTGTCCTTCACCCTCCTTTCCATTTTCATGGCATTGATCAGAACCTTAGAGGATGAAACATGTCAGAAAAAGGGAGCAGGGCAGAGAGATTCTTCACAGGAACCACATCAAGCGTGTGTTAAAATTTATTTCTGATCTGCCTTCCAAAATTATGCCCAAGATATGCATCAGCATTAATGGGTAAGGCGGTTTGAGGAATTCGGTTATGCAATGACTCAAAGACCCATTAAATCACAGAACTGAAGACATTTTTTTCTGTACATAAATGTGCCATTTTAACCATTTCATTCTACAGTTCAGTGGCATTAATTACATTCATAATGTTGTGCAACCATCATTTATATCTATTTCTAAAACTTTTATCTCCCCAAACAGAATCTCTGTGCCATTAAACAATAACTCCCAGCCAGGCGCAGTGGCTCAGGCCTGTAATCCCAGCACTTTGGGAGGCTGAGGCGGGTGGATCATGAGGTCAGGAGTTCAAGACTGGCCTGGTCAAGATGGTGAAACCCCATCTCTACTAAAAATACAAAAAATTAGCCAGGCATGGTAGCGAGCACCTGTAATCCCAGCTACTTGGGAGGCTGAGGCAAAGAATTGCTTGAACCCAGAAGGCAGAGGTTGTAGTGAGCTGAGATCGTGCCACTGCACTCCAGCCTGGGCAATGGAGCGAGACTCCGTCGCAAAAACAAACAAACAAACAAAAAACCTCCCCATTCTTTTTTATATTTTCTGTCTTTTTTATTGATATTCTCATTTTTTCCTACATTGTCTTCCTGATTTCCTTTAGTTCTTCATCTATGGTTTCTTTTAAGACAGTTGATTTAAATTCTTTGCCCAGGAAATTCAATGTCTCGGCTTCTTCCGGGATGTTTTCTGTCTATGTATTTCTTTCACCAGAATGGGCCACACTGTACTGTTTTTTTGATATGCTTGGTGATGTCTTTGTATTGAAAACCGGACATTGGTGTATTATGATGTGGTAACTCTGGAAATTAGGGTCTCGCCTTTGTTCAGGGTTGGCTGTTCTTGATTGCTGAAGCCTTAGCTTGTGTTTCTTTTCCAGTCTTTCAGATTGGCTCTGTGCTCAGGTACTCCTTTAACACTTAGCCAGGTCATCTATAATTCTGCCCCAGCCTTCACTTCTGCTTGCACTAAGTTGATGGGTCTTCTCTGGCCCTTTCTAAGCGTGCGTCGTGTCCTGAGCTGTCGCGTGTAGCTTTCTGAATTCTACAGTACCACAAACATTTTTGAATGCTCTGATTTCCCAAGGAAGCGATCTTCCTGGCTTTTCCCCCTGGCTTTAGATTGTCTAGTTTATGCCTCAACCGTATTTTTTTTGCACCCCTCCGCCCGCTTGGCCGTGGGTTTTTGATCACCTGACAATATTTTCCAGCAACACCTGCTGCTTTTCTGCTCTGAACGTGTTCTGAGTTTTGCAACAGAGAGGCAAGTGCCTTGTTTCAGTCTTTGGGTAGCCCCAGACAGATTAGAACAAACACAGTGATTTGCAAGTAAGATCTGCTCTGCTCCCTTCAAAAGCAAGTACTGGGGTGCCACACTGGGAATGAGGGCTGCTGTTGAGCTGGGGAAAGGGGTGAGGTAAGGGCAAGTAAAAACACCCAAAGCTTTGCTACTCTTTTGACATTGCCTTTCTCTTGATTCGGTGGTCACTGTCTTGTTCAGGCATACCTTTGTTTTTCACAGTTCTAAGAAAGTTACATCTTATAGTTCTGGATGTTGTTTTTTTTTAAAATATTTCTGTGAAAGCCTCAGAGTTTGAAGCTGCCTGTTCTGTCATTTTGCTTATGACACTCAAGGCCTTTTCATTTTAGGGCTTCCAGTAGCAAGAACTGTGCCCAGAGGGATGGAATTAGATCGAACTGCTCTGAAAGAGTACTACTATTTCATATTTTTATACAAAAGCATATTTTAGATAAGGATGTCATTGATTTAGAAACTCAAACCAATTAATCTTTGGGAAGTAATATTATCTCTGTTTTAGAGATGGAAAAAAACCAGCACAGATATTGAAGTCTCAAGACACTGGTTGAGATAGAGTTAAAATAATAGAGCTTTAGGAAAACAGTTACACATAGAATTACCATTTAATCCAGCCATTAACTTCTAGGTATATACCCAAAAGAATAGAAAGCAAGGACCCGAGCAGATACTTGTACACTAAGGTTCATAGCAGCATTATTCACAGTAGCAAAAAGGTAGAAACAATCCAGATGTCCATCAACTGATGAATGGATAAACAAGATGTAGTATATACATATAATGAAATGTTCAGATTTAAAAAGGAATGCTAATCTGATACACGCTACGTATGGTTGGATGGATGCTACAGCACAGATAAACCTTGAGGACAGTATGCTAAGTAAAAGAAACCAGACACAAAAGGACAAATATTTTATGATTCCACTTATATAAGCTATGTAGAATTGGCAAATTCACAGAGACAGAAAGTAGAATAGAGGTTTCCAGAGCTGGAGCAAAGGGGAATGAAGAATTAGTATTTTATGAGCACTGAGTTTCTCTTTGGGAATGATGAAAAGTTTTGGAAATGGATAGTGGTGATGATTGAACAACATTGTGAATGTATTTTTTTGTTTGTTTGAGACAGGGTTTTGCATTTGTTGCCCAGACTAGAGTGCAGTGGCACAATCTTGGCTCACTGCAACCTCCACCTCCCAGGTTCAAGTGACTCTTCTGCCTCAGCCTCCCAAGTAGCTGGGATTACAGGTGCATGCTACCACGCCGAGCTAATTTTTTGTACTTTTAGTAGAGACGGAGTTTCGCCATGTTGGGCAGGCTGGTCTCGAACTCCTGACCTCAGGTGATCCACCTGCCTCAGCCTCCCAAAGTGCTGGGATTACAGGCGTGAGCCACCGTGGCCAGCTGTGGACGTGTTTAATGCCACTGAATTGTATACCTTAAAATGTTTAAAATGTTAAATTTTGTGTTATGTTTTTTTAAAAAAATAGCCCCCCAAAATCATAACAGGTCAGGCGCAGTGGTTCGATCCAATAATCCTAGCACTTTGGGAGGCCAAGGCGGGCAGATTGCTTAAGCCCAGGAATTCGAGACCAGTCTGAGCAACATGGTGAAACCCCATCTCTAAAAAAATACATACAAAAATTAGCCAGGGGGTGTGCACTTGTTGTCCCAGCTACTTCAGAGGCTGCAGTGGGAGGATCACTTGAACTGGGGAGGTCGAGGCTGCAGTGAGCCATGATTGTACCACTGCACTCCAGCCTGGGTGACAGAGTGAGACCCTGTCTCAAAAAATATATATATAACACTCCAAACTCAGTGTTAGGGACATACAAAGCTTAACTAATTGAAATTTGCTGAGTTTTAAAACATAGTTCTCGAGCATTTATTATTTACTATATGCCAGCCACTGTGGTACATGCTTTATGTGGATTATCTCATTTACTCCTTGTCACAATCTTATCAAGCATAATACAATTAGCTCCAATTTATAGATGTGGGATCTGAAGCACAGAGAGATTAAGTAACGTGCCCGATGTCATTGCTGAAAAGTGTATCACTGAGATAAAGTACATCCCAGGACTTCATCCCAGGTAGTCTGACTTCAGACTTTGTGTCTAATGGTTAAGCTATACTATCTCACTTTTGCTGAACTTTAAAAGTGTGCTTAAAGCAATACATGACTTTCCACAATTTGCCGCAGAACAATTATTGCACATTCCTTTCCTCAGGGTGTGTTGGTGGCTATGATTCCTGCCTGCCAGCCTCAGCAAGACAAAACACAATCAGAGAAAAGGTGGATGGTTCACTCTTAAGGGAAGTAGTGGATTTGGGTTTGTTTCAGTAATCGTCTCTGAATAATGGCATAACCTTCTCTCAGATTTTTAATTTGATCTAGTTTCATTGCAGTGAAAGGAAGCTTTAACACTTGGATCAAAGAAAGTATTTGTATAAAAGCAGCGAATGTAGTTTTGAATGATAGGGTACTTGTACTCTGAATAGTAGTATACAATATTTGAACTGTATGAGGCCTTTTTTTATTCTTTCTTTCTCTCTCTCTCTCTCCTCCTCTCTACCTCTCCTCCTCTCTCCCTCTCTCCCTCTTCCCGTCTCCCTCTTCTGAGTCTAGCTTTGTCTTCCAGGCTGGAGTGCAGTAGCCTGATCTCGGCTCCCTGCAACCTCCACCTCCCAGGTTCGAGTGATTCTCCTGCCTCAGCCTCCCGAGTAGCTGGAACTACAGGTGCACACCACCATGCCCAGCTAATTTTTTGTATTTTTAGTATAGATAGGTTTCACCATGTTGGCCAGGCTGGTCTCGAACTCCTGACCTCAGGTGATCCACCTGCCTTGGCCTCCCAAAGTGCTGAGCTTACAGGCATGAGCCACTGCACTTGGCCTGTGTGAGGTCTTTAAATAACCCTTCCCTATCCTCAAAAATGCCCATCAGCTTAGTTTATGCATCAGTAACACTACAGGTTGAACATCCCTTATCCAAAATGCTTGAGATTGGAAGTGTTTCATATTTCAGGTTTTTTTTTGATTATGGAATATTCGCATATATATAGTGAGATATCTTGAGGATGGGACCCAAGTCTAAACACAGCTTTTTTATGTTTCCTATACCCACCCTGTGTATAGAGACTGAAGGTAATTTTATACAATATTTTAAAATAATTTTATACATGAAATAAAACTTTGACTGTAACCTCTCACATGAAGTTAGGTATAGAATTTTCTCCCTGTGGCATCTTGTCAGCACTAAAAAAGTTTCAGGTTTTGGAGCATGTCGGATTTCAGATTTACAGATCAGAGATGCTTAACCTGTATCATCGTATATATAATAATTGCCACTCTTTACCTAGGCCTTGGTGTTTTCTGTGTGACATCTTTCCAGTCCCCATTTTGACTGCAATAAATTTTTTTTTTTTTTTTTGGAGACAGTCTCGCTCTCTACAACCTCCACTTCCTGGGTTCAAGTGATTCTCCTGCCTCAGCCTCCTGAGTAGCTGGGATTATAGGCATGCGCCGCCACGCCCAGCTAATTTTTGTATTTTTAGTTGGGACGGGGTTTCACCATGTTGGTCACACTGGTCTTGAACTCTTGACCTCGTGATCTGCCCACCTCAGCCTCCCAAAGTGCTGAGATTACAGATGTGAGCCACCATGCCCGGCTGACTGCAATAATTTTTTATTCTCTTAATTACTTACTAACTAGAGTACCAGCTGTGAGATTTTGCTCTTAAACATCCAGTCACATCATTTTCCCAATCATGCAAAGAAATGGTAATATCCTTAGTGATATTCACAGAGCATTGTGAATATCTGCCGATCAATGCTAGACTATTAAAAGGAACGTGAATGTCAGGGTACATTCCTAGTGTTTTAAGGTAAAAGTCATTAAAGGATACTACTATATTGTTTCACAAAATGCCTCTTGACCATTATCAGAGATAGATTCTAAGCTAAACGGAGCAGTTATATGTTAGAACTGACACAGAATTCAGGCGGTGTGATCAATTGAATAAAATTTCTCAATCAAGGTAATTTCCCCAGTCTTTGGCCCATGGTTATTACAAAAAAAAAATTTTTTTTTCTTTGAGACGGAGTCTCGCTCTGTCACCCAGGCTGGAGCGCAGTGGCGCGATCTCGGCTCACTGCAACCTCCGCCTCCCGGGTTCACGCCATTCTCCTGCCTCAGCCTCCCGCGTAGCTGGGACTACAGGCGCGTGCCACCAGGCCCGGCTAATTTTTTGTATTTTTAGTAGAGTCGGGGTTTCACCGTGTTAGCCAGGATGGTCTCGATCTCCTGACCTCGTGATCCGCCTGCCTCGGCCTCCCAAAGTGCTGGGATTACAGGCGTGAGCCACTGTGCCCGGCCACAAATAATTTTTAAAAAGAAATAATACCTCTTCACAGCTACTCAGGAGACTGAGGCAGGAGGATCATTTGAGTCCATGAGTTCAAATCCAGCCTGGGTAACATAATGAAACCCCATCTCTGGGCCGGGCACGGTGGCTCACGCCTGTAATCCCAGCACTTTGGGAGGCCGAGGCAGGTGAATCACCTGAGGTCGGGAGTTCAAGACCAGCCTGACCAACATGGAGAAACCCCGTCTCTACTAAAAATACAAAATTAGCCTGGCATGGTGATGCATACCTGTAATCCCAGCTACTCGGGAGGCTGAGGCAGGAGAATAGCTTGAACCCAGGAGGTGGAGGTTGCGGTGAGCCGAGATTGTGCAATTGCACTCCAGCCTGGGCAAAAAGAGCAGAAACTCCATCTCAAAAAAAAAAAGAAACCACATCTCTGAAACCCTTAGTAGTTACATGTAAACTGTCATCTCCATTTTAGAGCTTAATGAAGTTGACAGGTCTTAAATTAGGTCTTATGAATGTGCCTGTTACTGTCTTTAAATACTTATAAATAGCATCACCAAGTTATTTAATGGGTAGTTTTTAACTATAGGTCACTTGGCTTTCACGGATGACAACGATAAATAGAACTTTTTGTTCTTGTCTAGCTATATGGATTCATATGTGGCAGCAGAAAGCTTCATTTATATTGAGTGAGATTTTGTAGGGAATTACATGGGGCGGTATGTTTTGATTTGGTTTTTCTCCTTAACTATAAATATATCTTGAAAACTTTTTGTGTATCAGAAGGAATTTTAGGTCAGACATGGTGGCTGGCGCCTGTACTCCCAGCATTTTGGGAGGCCAAGATGGGAGGACCAGTTGAGGCCAGAAGTTGAAGACAAGCCTGGGCAACATAGCAAGACACCACCCCCACTGCCCCCCCAGAAAATTTAAAAATCATCCGGGCTTGGTGGTGTGTGCCTGTGGTTCCAGCTACTCGGGACACTGAGGTGGGAGGGTCGCTTGAGCCTGGGAGGTTGAGGCTTCAGTGAGTCATGATTGGGCCACTGCACTCCAGCCTGAGCAACAGAATGAGACTTATTTTTTTCTTTTTTCTTTTTTGAGTTGGAGTCTCACTCTGTTGCCAGGCTGGAGTGCAGTGGCCCAGTCTTGGCTCCCTGCAACCTTCGCCTCCCGGGTTCAAGCAGTTCTCCTGCCTCAGCCTCCCGAGTAGCTGGGACTACATACATACGCCACCACGCCCGGCTAATTTTTGTATTTTTAGTAGACACGGGGTTTTACAATGTTGGCCAGGATGGTCTCAATCTCTTGACCTCATGATCCGCCCACCTTGGCCTCCCAAAGTGCTGGGATTACAGGGGTAAGCCACTGCGCCCGGCCAATACTTTTTTTTTTCAAGCAAAACTTTGTAAGACTCATGTGACATCAAACGTAATAATAAAAATTTTTTGAAATTCACACGGAAAAATACTAAAATTTCCGTGTTACATCATGAATGCTTTAAT
The DNA here is from genome assembly GCF_000001405.40 of Homo sapiens. NCBI lineage: Eukaryota > Metazoa > Chordata > Mammalia > Primates > Hominidae > Homo > Homo sapiens. The sequence continues at coordinate 246,616,978 of NC_000001.11, forward strand.
ATTACTTTAAAATCTTAGTATATTATAAAGACACACAATTCACAATTGTCAACTCACAGCACATCAGTCTAAGTACTCCTGATTATGCTAATGTTTATTTTCTTTATTATTGCTTTTACTAAAAATAAGCTCTTAGCATATTATCCCTTACTAAAAAGAAATGAACTGTCAAGCATTAAAAGACATAGAGGAAAATTTAATGCATGTTACTAAGTGAAAGAAGGCAATCTGAAAAGGCTACATATTGTATGATAAAATGTGAAAAAATATATACAAGCTCAATGATGTTCAAACCTACAGTATTGGTGAATAATAACCTAAGCAATTTAATACTCCAGCTTAGTTCTTATAACTCCTATTATTCACTATGACATGAGTCATATAAACTTTATTAGCTTTAACTACACTTTCCTCTGAATGTTTGTCCTCAAATAAGATTGGACTTGTCTCAGAACTGCTTTACCACTCTTGTGACCTTTTTCAGTTAAGTGACAATAAAGCTGTTTTTCAGGCTGAGACTTAGGGGCACTCCTGCTTTTGGCATGCACTGTCTCATTTAATCCTCACACTAATATTATAAGGTAGATGCAACAGCCCCCATGTTACAGAGGAAAAAATAGAGGATCAAAGAGATTAACTTGCCAAAAGTATGGCTAATAAGTAGGTGAAGCATGCTGAGAACTTAGGGCTGCCTTAATATCCATGTCATTCTTCCAACTCTTTGGCAACAGTTTTCTAATATGAGTTCTTTACCCCATTAATGCTGTGAAACTAAGAACACCATATTTTAAGTGGCTTAAAATTCCAAGCAACCAGAATATGGCTAGTGTTACTTTCCTATTTTATATGTGCCTAAAGTAAAGTACATCCTTGGTCATTTCATAACATGTATAACAATTGCTATGATTATTTGAGCCACGATAGAATTCTATTCTAAGAGCTTGGCAGAGCTAGAAGAACAACCTGCTCTTTGGTAGGGAGTATTGCAGCACGCTTCTTGCAAGGACATTCAGTTTTCTTGCCTGAAAAGCAAACACACCACTATTTGTGTAGTCACCAGTCTAGGCAAGGGAGGAACAATGGTTTTAAAAATACACCCAGAAAGGAACTAGAAGATACTTGTATTAGGTGGGTAACCTTACCTTCCATTATCGTAAATAGTTGCTCAAGCTTCTTCACAGTAATGGTCTGCATTTCTTATGTAGCAAAACCTCTGGAGATTTTGAATGTTTTTGATGGTCAGAACTAGAGAACTTCTCTATCCAATCTCTTCGTTTTAGGTAAGGAAACTATATAGGTCAGCAAGTAAAAAGTCTAATCGAAGGTCTCTTGGAAAAATCATAGCAGAACTGAAGTCTCTTGCTCCTTTCCCAGTGCTCTCTGATTTTATATTACTCTGTCCCCACAAGGAATGTTATCTCAAGGTAAGATGGTTTTGTATAGTAATGGTTATCTCTGAAGCTCATGTTGTTTAAGGCCTGACAGATAATCCTTTTGTAGTATGAGTCTTGTAGTTTTGCTAACGTCTTCAGTGATTTAGTGTGACCCCTCTGAGCCTAGATCATATTTTCCTTCCCCTCCCTACACTCAATGATTAAAGTACGATATTCTTTCTAATTGCCCATTAGCCCCCTGCTGCTCTTGGAATCCTTAGACTTCTGTGGGCTTTTGGAACTTCTGCTGTTAGGTTTCATGAATAATAGTCCCCTTTCTGTTGAGTTTCTCTGGTTACATCATTTTATTTACCAATGTATTGCTTTTTAATATCAGTAACATTGAATATTAAAGTAGGTGATAAAATGGATCAAGCAGGAAACTTGACCATTACAAATCGATGCTAACTAAATAACCGAGATAACCACGATGCAGGTTGCCGATTATCCAGGACCCTTTTTTGATCTCCTTTGGAAAGGGAGTCATCAATTCTGTCCTTTTTCCTTAACTTTGAAAGTCCATCCTTCTTTGGCAATAGTCTTCAAGGGTTTTATTTAGCTCCCTTTTACTAAAAACAAGCATCACAAAATCTCATCTGTTTTTTACAAAGAAGCCTGGAGTAATACCCTGATAACTATAGGGGAATAATGTCATCAACAGAAGAATAGAATTTGGGAAGCTGACCTTATCACAGTCTATGAGATTAAATGTCTTGGGCATAGTAGTGTAGCTAGAGAAAAGGGAAAAAAAAAAAACACTAATTCTCTTAGTTTCTTTGTAGTTCTCCGTGGAAAACTCCTTTACCCACATTGGTACCCTTTTGGTTTTGCTGCTATGGTGGTTAGAAAATTAGAAAGCAGAAGAATCACCTCCTGTTTTTAGAAATACCCTAAAAAATGGCAGGCCATCACTGGGCCTTGTACTTCTAATGGCCAAAATGTATAGCAACATAAAGTGTCTAGAAGAGAATTCTCTAAAATACAAGTAATCACTGTAGGTGATTTTTTAAAGAAGCACAGCACGTGGAATTGTAGTGTTGAAGACACCATGCTGGGTATCACTGGAATAACCCCTGTGCTGCCAGCGTTGATGTGAAATAGAAGATGACATCTTAAACCAATTACTGTACTGCAACCTAGCGTCATACGAGGCCATATACCAGGTTCAGAGGAAAGTAACTTGACTTCAAGCTCATGTTATAGGGAAAGATGTGGATTTTATTAGAGTAGAACATAAATAGGCTTAAACAGGAGGAAAATATTCTAGCCGTTAGGATCTGTAATTGCTCAGAAAGGCAGGAAGTATTTTACTTTGGGAGATGAAGAATGGACCAGTCTGGCCAGGGCAGTGGGTTTCACATTCAAATCCAAAGATATGAACTACAGGGCAGTAGAAGGCAGGGCTCTGGGCACACTCTACAGGGAGGACGGCTTCAGTCATGGTGCATACACACGATGGGCTCTGGGCACACTCTACAGGGAGGACGGCTTCAGTCGTGCATACACACGATGGGCTCTGGGAACACTACAGGGAGGACGGCTTCAGTCGTGCATACACACGATGGGCTCTGGGAACACTCTACAGGGAGGACGGCTTCAGTCGTGCATACACACGATGGGCTCTGGGCACACTCTACAGGGAGGACGGCTTCAGTCGTGCATACACACGATGGGCTCTGGGAACACTACAGGGAGGACGGCTTCATCGTGGTGCATACACACGATGGGCTCTGGGAACACTACAGGGAGGACGGCTTCATCGTGGTGCATACACACGATGGGCTCTGGGCACACTACAGGGAGGACGGCTTCATCGTGGTGCATACACACGATGGGCTCTGGGAACACTCTACAGGGAGGACGGCTTCAGTCGTGCATACACACGATGGGCTCTGGGAACACTACAGGGAGGACGGCTTCAGTCGTGCATACACACGATGGGCTCTGGGAACACTCTACAGGGAGGACGGCTTCAGTCGTGCATACACACGATGGGCTCTGGGCACACTCTACAGGGAGGACGGCTTCAGTCGTGCATACACACGATGGGCTCTGGGAACACTACAGGGAGGACGGCTTCATCGTGGTGCATACACACGATGGGCTCTGGGAACACTACAGGGAGGACGGCTTCATCGTGGTGCATACACACGATGGGCTCTGGGCACACTACAGGGAGGACGGCTTCAGTCGTGCATACACACGATGGGCTCTGGGAACACTCTACAGGGAGGACGGCTTCAGTCGTGCATACACACGATGGGCTCTGGGAACACTACAGGGAGGACGGCTTCAGTCGTGGTGCATACACACGATGGGCTCTGGGAACACTACAGGGAGGACAGCTTCAGTCATGCATACACACGATGGGCTCTGGGCACACTCTACAGGGAAGACGGCTTCAGTCGTGCATACACACGACGGGCTCTGGGCACACTCTACAGGGAGGATGGCTTCAGTCATGCGTACACACTATGGGCTCTGGGCACTACAGGGAGGATGGCTTCAGTCGTGCATACACACGGTATTACTGAAGAAGTTCCTTTCTGAGGCAGTCTAGCTAAAGGTATGCACATAGGCAGATAGTCTATTAAATTTGAACATGAATATTAAAACTGACACTGAGATTTCAGTGAAGGGTGAAGTTATAATTTATAACAGTGTTTAAAATTTGGTGTATTTCAGTAGCTGTTAGTTAAGCATTTATTTATTAGTGATTTTTGAGAAGTTTGTGTTACTTCTTTTTATTAGGAAAAACATTTGACTAGCCATTAGCTCTGGCATCTGAATTCCTGCTACTCTCCTAGCATCTAGAAGTATTTCTGATGTTATCAGACAGAGTTTAATCAGAAAGACTCAACTTCTTTAGTGGTTTCATATGATAAACACATTTACCTTCCTGTTCAGGTCTGTTTTAGTTTGGGCAAGCCAGGGCATCAAACTATATGTAATTGTTTTAATGTGTTACACCATCATGGGAATTGATCCTAACATAGGCATTTTCTTTACTTCTTAAAGGACTTTTTTCAGGAGATATTGCACCTTTAATGCAAGAAAAAGTACTAAGCGCAGTCACATATGCTGTTGATGATGAAGAAGCTGCTGAAGTAAATGCTAATGAGCAGCCAGAGGCGCCAAAGCTTGTTCTGCAGTCTCTGTTTTCACTTATACGAGGTGAAGTTGAGCAGTTGGATTCAAGAGCACTTCCCCTTTGCCTTCATCAGGTACTCTGGTAAACCCTTCACTTTCAGCCTCACGAAAATTCCCCTAGCAGTGTTTGGAATGATCTAAAATGCTGTCTTGGCTGGGCGCAGTGGCTCATGCCTGTAATCCCAGCATTTTGGGAGGCTGAGGTGGGTGGATGGCTTGAGCTCAGGAGTTCAAGACCAGCCTGGGCAACATGGCGAAACCCCATCTCTACAAAATATACAAAAATTAGCCGGGCATGGTGGTGCACACCTGTAGTCCCAGCTACTTGGGAGGCCAAGGTGGGACGATCACTCAAGCCTGGGAGGCAAAGGTTGCATTGAGCTGACATTGCACCACTGCACTCCAGCCTGGGAGACAGAGTGAGAGAACCTGTCTCTAAATACATAAATAAATATAAAAATAAAAAATAAAATGCAATCTCTGTAAAATTGACTGTGTCCCACTCATCACTGGTGAGCCCGGGGGAGGGTGACCCTCGTGGGATATTTGGCATATTACTAATTGATGGCCACATCTTGGCCTTGGCTAATCCATAGTTTAAACAATGGTTCACTTTTTAAATCAGTGATAAAGCTGTGTAAGAGTTTGATAAGCATCTACCAGGCACCAAAGACCCTGCTGGACATGGGTAAACAGAGATTACTTGGCAGAATATGCCCGTAAGAGAGCCCCTGCAGAACAGGAGCAACGGTTCTATCGATAAGTAAGTGTGGAATTTTGTGTTCAGTGTTAGAGTAAACATATGTTAAAGATTCAGCAGCACAAAATGAGTGATTCATTCTGCCCTGTGGACACTTGGGAACAGAAGGCGACTCTTGAGCTGGGTTTTCCAGGCTTATTAGGCGCTCAGTGGGTTAACAGAATGAGCTGGTCCAGGAAGAGATCAGCCTGTGAAAGCCGTGGCTGGGATATTATTGGAGATGAAGATGTTAAAAGAGGAGGTGAGATTGAATAGCTGGTGACATTGAGACTTTATTTTTAGGGACTGGGAATTTTTAATTCTAAGAGTGCCTGAATCACATTTGCATTTTAGAAGAAGAACTCTTTTGAGGATTGAGAGGGTGTAGATGTTAGAGGATGGAGAGGCTGGAGACTGGGGAGCCTTTAGGCCGGTGGTGAGGAAACTTTTTTTTTTACATAAGAGCTAATTCAGAAGAAATTAAGATATTTGAGCTGCATCTTATTTTTTATTGTATTGTATTGTATTTATTTATTTATTTAGAGACAGAGTCTCACTCTGTTGCCCAGGCTGGAGTGCAGCGGCATGATCTCAGCTCACTGTAATCTCCACCTCCCAGATTCAAGCCATTCTCCTGCCTTAGCCTCCTGAGTAGCTGGAATTACAGGCACACACCACCACGCCTGGCTAATTTTTGTATTTTAGTAGAGATGGGGTTTCACCATGTTGGCCAGGCTGGTTTCAAACTCCTGACCTCAAGTGATCCACCCGCCTCGGCCTTCCAAAGTGCTAGGATTAACAGGCGCGAGCCGCTGCACCCAGCCTGCATTTTATTTTTACATAAAATGAAATTAACTGGTACATGGGAATGGAGAAAGTGATTTACTTTTGTAATGAGAAGTGAATAATTTTTAATTTTTAACCCATTTAGAAAAAAAAATAGTGCAGCTGGCTGCAAGTGCCCAGCTTTACATAAACATGCTCTTTGAGGCTGAAGCAAATTTGACTAATTGTCAATGTGAAAATAAAATAGAAAAACTGTTCTTGGAGTTATTTCTAAACAGAATTTGTCTCTAATCCTAATGTAACAAAAACGGATATGATGTTACATTAGGATCAGAGACAAGAGTATTCTCAGGGCAAACAGAAAATGGGATAAAAAGTAAAGTAGGCAGGGCACAGTGGCTCATACCTATAATCCCAGCACTTTGGGAGGCCGAGGTGGGTGGATCATGTGAGGTCAGAAGTTCAAGACCAGCCTGGCCAACACAGTGAAACCTCATCTCTTCTAAAAATATACACACACAAAAAAATTAACCAGGCATGGTGGCACGCGCCTGTAGTCCCAGCTACTCGAGAGGCTGAGGCAGAAGAATTGCTTGAACCCAGGAGGCGGAGGTTGCAGTGGGCGGAGATCGCACCACTGCACTCCAGCCTGGGTGACAGAGTGAGACTCTGTCTCAAAAAAAAAGGGAAAATAGGGCCAGGCGCGGTAGCTCATACCTGTAATGCAGCACTCTGGGAGGTCGAGGCAGGCAGATTGCTTGAGCCCAGGAGTTCAAGTCTAGCCTAGGCAACATCATGAAACCTTGTCTCTACAAAAAAAAAAAAAATGTAGCCAGGCACGGTGGCGTGCGCCTGTAATCCCAGCTACTCAGGACGCTAAGGTGGGAGGATTGCATGAGCCCAGGAGTTTGAGGCTGCAATGAGCCGTGATTCCATCACTGCACTCCAGCCTGGGTAACAGAGGAAGACCCCATCTAAAAATAGACAAACAAAAAGTTCAATAGGTTTTGTCCCAATTCAGGAAAATGTATACTTTTACAAATTTGTATTATCTCCTTTACGAACTTGAAGAATGCCTTTGAGGAAATGTATACTCCTGGCCTCTAAGCTGTCACGAACTCACCATTGTTGAGTAGCACCAACATCAAGGCAGCTTTCTAATCACTCAGCTTTCACTGCATTTGAACAGTGGATTGCACGGCAATCTTTTCTCTCCTGGGAAAGAAGGTTAGAGAATACGGTGGTGGTTTAAAAGTATGGGCTTTGGCCCTACCACAAGCTAAGTGGCTTTTGGTTTCTCCTGTTGTAAAGTAATAGAGGATTAAATGGGATAATGCATGTAAAAGCACTTAACATATGTTTGACGTACAGTAAAAGCCAAAGAAATATTAAACATTTAAACTCTATTCCTACTGTCACTAATTCAGAGATTGCTCATTGGAAATCAAGTCTGGGGATCAGCAAAGAAATACTGATGCCATTAGAAAGCTGAGACGTCAGGGTGACAAGATTCGGTTGATGGCTGCCTCCTCAGCCCAAGAAGACAGAATATCCTGTCACCTCCCAAGGGACACACAAATCAGGGAGGGATGGAGATATATTTTATTCATTTTAGTAATTCCCAGCACATCACATGGTATATTTCACCTAGATTTGCCAGTTGTTGACATTTTTATCAAATTTTTGCTCTGTTTTTTAGCTGGGGCTATAGGCATGTGCCACTGCGCCCAGCTAATTTTTGTATTTTTAGTAGAGATGGGGTTTCACCATGTTGCCCGGGCTGGTCTTTAACTCCTGATCTCAGGTGATCCACCCGCCTTGACCTCCCAAAGTGCTGGGATTACAGGCGTGAGCCACCACGCCTGGCCTTTTTGCTCTTGCTCTCTCTCGTGCACACACACGTATTTTTTCCATTGAAACAGTTGAAAGTAATTTGCATTATGACACTTCACCCCTAAATATTTGTACATAAATCTCCCAAGAAGAAGGATACTCTCCTACATAACATACAAGGCCATTATCAACCCCAAGAAATGAGTCACTGATGCAATAAAATTATTTAATATACAATCCATATTCAAATTTCCCCCAAGTAGTTCCACAAATGTTCTGTGCAACTGTTTTCCCCCAGTGCAGGATTCAGTGCAGGATGGCATATTGCATTCAACTGTCAGTATTCTTTAGTCTCCTGTAATCCAGAATGCTCCCAGCCTTTCTATCTGTATCAGTCTTTCTCCGCCCCTTTCTTTCTTTCACACTGACATTTATGAACAGTCTAAGAATTCATGTAGAATGTCCCATAATCAGGATTTGTCTAATTATTTCTTTCTTTTTTTTTTTTTTTTTTTTTTTTTGAGATGGGGTCTTGCTCTGTCACCCAGGCTGGAGTGCAGTGGCGTGATCTTGGCCCACTGTAACCTCCACCTCCCGGGTTCAAGCAATTCTCCTGCCTCAGCCTCCTGAGTAGCTGGGACTACAGGCCCGTGCCACCACGCCCAGCTAATTTTTGTATTTTTAGTAGAGACAAGGTTTCACCATGTTGGCCAGGAGGGTCTCGATCTCTTGACCTCACGATCCGCCCGCCTCGGCCTCCCAAAGTGCTGGGATTACAGGTGTGAGCCACTGCGCCCGGCCTAATTATTTCTTTAAGATTTGATTCAGGTTAAACATTCTGGGCAAGAATTTACTTAGGTAACATTCCATACCCAATTCTCTCTTGAACTGATTCTAATCTGGTTTTTGTTCCCACCACTCCCCCAAAATTGCACTGTAAAAGTCACCAGTGATTTCCATGTTGTTAAATCCGGTGGTCAGACCTCAGTTTTCATCTCACTGGAGCTATTGGAAACGTCAAGTTGATCACATACTCTGTTTTGAAGCGTTTTGTTTATTTGCCTTTGGGAGCTCTTTTCTTGGCTTTTACCTCTTACATCACTTGGCCATGCCTTCTCCGGCTCATTTTCTGAGTTCCCATATTTTCCTTTTTTTTTTTTCCCACTCTGTCACCAGGCTGGAGTGCAGTGGCATCATCACGGCTCACTGCAGCCTCCACCTCACGGGTTCAAGTAGTCTTCCTGCCTCAGCTTCTCAAGTGGCTGGGACTGCAGGCGCATGCCACCGTGCCCAGCTAATTTTTTTATTTTTTTGTAGAGACGGGGTTTCACCATGTTGCCCAGGCTGGTCTCGAATTCCTGGCCTCAAGTGATCTTCCCACCTTGGTGTCCCAAAGTGTTGGGATTTCAGGCATGAGCCACTGCACCCAGCCCTAATTTTTAAACACTGGGATGCGTCAGAGTTCAGTTCTTGAATCTCTTCTCATTCTGAATTCACTTCCTGGTGTTTTCATCCAATCCTGTAGGTTTGTCCTTTTTTTTTTTTTTTTTTTTTTTTGAGACGGAGTCTCACTGTGTCGCCCAGGCTGGAGTGCAGTGGCACAATCTTGGCTCACTACAACCTCCGCTTCCCGAGTTCAGGTGATCTCCTGTCTCAGCTCCACAAGTAGCTGGGATTACAGGCACGTGCCACCACACCTGGCTAATTTTTAAATTTTTAGCAGAGACGGGGTTTCATCATGTTGGCCAGGCTGGTCTCAAACTCCTGACCTCAGGTGGTCCGCCCGCCTCAGCCTCCCAAAGTGCTGGGATTACAGGTGTGAGCCACTGTGCCCGGCCTGTCCTATTTCTTTTCTGAACTCCAGACTTAACTATCCAGCAACTCAAGATGTCTCATGGGCATTTCAAACTTAAGATGTACAAACTCAAACTTTGATTTTCTCCCGTATCTGCTGCTTTCCTAGTCTTACCTCTCTTGTTAAATGCCAACTTCGTCCCTCTAGTTGCTGAGACCAAATGCCTTGAAGTGATACTTTATTTACTTTTCCCTGCATCCAAATCCAATCCAACAGCAAGTCCTGCAGATCTACTTCAAAATATACCCAGAACTTCTTACCTCTTTCACTGCTACCATTTCCGTACAGGATACCATCAAATCTCACCCAGATTCTTGCAATAAATTTCTCACTATAGAGACTTTTCTGCCTTCACTCTCCCTTCCACTTAGTGCTTTCTCTCTACATGACCGTCACTGTGATGCAGATAAAACATAAGTCAGATCTTGTCACTCCACTGTGCAAAGCCCTCCGATGGCTTCCCTTCTCATTTAGAATAAAAGCCAAAATCCTTACCGTGGCCTACAAGGCCCTACATGATCTTGTCCTGTTAGCCTCCTGGATCTTCATTGCTAAAATTCTCCTTAACTCACTCCTTTCCAGGTTCACTGGCCTTCTGACAGCTTCTCAGATATACCAAGGATGTTCCCACTTCAGGTCCTCTGGTATCTCCTATCTACTCCTTCTCAGGAAGCCACTAGGTGATGTGCTCCAGCAAAACAAGGGAGTAAACCAAGAAACAGGAAGGTGTGAGATACAGGAAACTGGGAATCCTACTCAGGACAGAGGTGAAGGGAATCTAAGCAAAGGGAGATTTTAAGATGACAGCTGTATGCCAGGAAGGAGAGGGTAACCAGTCCTGTTTCGAGTGGATCACAAGAGTCTGGGGAGAGGCTTTTCTATCATTTTCCTGTTTGTAGAAGTATTTGACTCCTTAAAGCATAGACATGTAAAATTTGGATGAAAATAAGAACTAAAAGAAGACATAATTCAGGCATAAGGTAATGAAAGCATCTAGGCTAAAGTGGTGACAGTGGAAATGGAGAGGGATGGATGTGAGATCTTTGGAAGGAAGAATAACTAGGACTTGGTATAGATTGTTGTATTAGTCAGGGTTCTCTTAGAGGGACAGAACTCATAGGATATTTATATATATCCTATATATATTTATATATATAAAGGGGAGTTTATTAAGTATTAACTCGCATGATCACAAAGTCCCACAATAGGCTGTCTGCAAGCTGAGGAGCAAGGAGAGCCGAGCTAAGTCCCAAAACTGAAGAATTTGGAGTCTGATGGTCGAGGGCAGGAAACATCCAGCACGCGAGAAAGATGTGGGCTGGGAGGCTAGGCCTGTCTCTCTTTTTCATGTTTTTCTGCCTGCTTTATATTCCCTGGCAGCTGATTAGATGGTGTCCACCAGTTTAAAAGGGGGTCTGCCTTCCCCAGCCCACTGACTCAAATGTTGATCTCTTTTGGCAACACCCTCACAGACACACCCAGGATCAATACTTTGTATCCTTCAATCCAATCACGTTGACACTCAGTATTAACCATCACAATTGTAAAAAGAGAATAAAGGAGAAATCAGAGATGACTGTAGGACCATTAACAGAAATAAGGTATTCGAGTGTGAGAACTAATTTTAGGAAAATTGTGATTTAAAAAGTGATATATAATATATAGAATAATATGTGCTAAAGGCCAATGGAAATACGACAACATATACTTGTATTTTGAGCTCGTGGAACTCTTAAAAGTTCTGTTTTAAAGTTCTTGTTCTTAGGTATGAGTGGTCTTTTTTACACTGACTTAGTTAATATGACTACAGATTAGCTTTAAATGTTTAACTGAAGTCATATGCTTGGCAGGTTTCATATAGAAAATCGGGCCCTCCCTTGGGCCTCTTTTGTAAGGGCACTAATCCCATTCATGAGGGCAGAGCCCCCGTGACCTAATCACCTCCCAGATACCCCCTTCTTCACACTATCCCCTGGGAACTCGGTTTCAACATATGAATTTGTGAGGGGGACACAAAGATTGAGGCCATGGCCCTTCACAGTGTCTTTTTTTAGAGCGTTCCTGATTGGTAAAAGGATAACCAGGATCACCTTACACCTGTTGCCTTCCCAGCAGTTTTCACCTTTTTCACATGATTCCACTCAGCATCTTGCAATTCATTCCAAATCAGACTCAAAAACCATTTTAAGCACTTACTGTAGTGTGCTGGGCATTATGCTAGATACATAGTCTCTCTGTTTTTTTTATTTGTATTTATTTATTTATTTTCATTTGCTTCCTGTACCTGGGCAGCAAACACAATCTCTCTTTCAATCCTTATGGCAGCCTTGTTTTATACAGCTGCAGGTATTACTGTCCCTGTTTTAAGATAAGAAAGTTGAGGCTTGAGATGCGAAATGACGTGTCCAGGGCCACACAGCTGGTAAGTGGCAGGGCTTGGACTAAAACACAGGCCATTCACCTCCAACCCCATGTTCTTTCTGCTCTACTGGGCTAGCTTTCAGATTTAGAAATATGCTTTAAAAAAAAGTCACATCTTCTCTTCCTGCTAGACTTGCAAGGGGGAGATTTTTAAAGGGGAAATACTTTGTATATTTATTTCTCAAGATGACTTTTTACCTGGAAATTTTACTTTTGAGGCACTGGGTTTCATAACCTTCTCTGCATAGTTACTTTATGGTATTAGAACTGCTACAGAAGCCTGCAAGCTAATTTCTGCAGTGCCAGGAAATCTGGTGACATAATAGTTATGGACCCCATCAAAACTCCTCAAATAAGAGCTATTTATAAGTAACCATGTGCCAATTTTGCACAAATGCAAAAAGGCAGGAAAAATGGCTTTGAAGAGCCAGACATTTTATTTTAATGGGCAACCTGAAACTATATCTCATACCATATATAGAAAGGAAACTGTGCAATACCATAGATGTTTTCACTGGAAGTTTGTACTTGAAATTTTTTTTTCTTTGTTTTTTTGAGACAGAGTTTCACACTGTCACCCAGGCTGGAATGCAGTGGCGCAATTTCGGCTCACTGCAACCTCTACCTCCCAGGTTCAAGTGATTCTTCTGCCTCAGCCTCCCAAGTAGCTGGGAATACAGGTGCACACCACCACACCCAGCTAATTTTTGTGTTTTTAGTAGAGACAGTATTTCGCCATGTTGGCCAAGCTGGTGTCGAACTCCTGAACTCAAATTATCTGCCTGCTTCGGTCTCTCAAAGTGCTGGGATTATAAGCATGAGCTGCCATGCCCGGCTCTGCAGTTGAAATGTCATCATTGATTTCAATTAGGTGTAACCCCCTCATATGCTGGAACCTGCTAGTACTGACATATGAGAACCATGTTTACTGACGTCCATCACATTGGTAGCTTGACATCGGCCATGGTGGGAGTATTGACACCACTGAAATGAGCAAACACTGCAAGTTGGGGCTCTCCCCAACACTCTGGAGACGACTGTTAAATATTAGCACACTGCTGGTTACACCATTATATGAAATTCTCATTTTGTAAGCTAAAGAAATGGTTGAAGATTGGCAGTTTGACTTGGTTCATACTACTTTTAAAACATATTATTAGAACAATAAGCTGGTAAAAGATAACCAGATTCTTAAAAATCAGTTTGTCCCTTGCAAAATCTTTAATATAACATAAATATGGAATCAAACTTTATATTAACTGAAAACTAATCATTTATAGAGATGACTGAGTCAGTCATCTACATGGCTCATGGAAAAAATGTCACATTTGTAGGATTTAAACTAGGCAAGTATTTTCCTTTAAAAGTATGCTGTTTCCCCTGAGGGATTTGGGAAAATCCATTCCTTTTTATTGCTAGCTTATAGGTTTGACAAGTACTTTAATTACTCTTTGCATCGTCAATTTACCTGGAAAACGGAGATAGTGATGTATAAAGGTTATACCTTTTTTTACTAGAGACAATCTGTGGAAACCATTTTTTGTTTTGGTTTGTTTTGGTTTTTTTTTGAGACAGAGTTTTGCTCTTGTTGCCCAGGCTGGAGTGCAATGGCATGATCTCGGCTCACTGCAACCTCCACCTCCCAGGTTCAAGCGATTCTTCTGCCTCAGCCTCCAGAGTAACTGGGATTACAGGCATGAGACACCATGCCTGGCTAATTTTTGTATTTTTAGTAGAGATGGGGTTTCACCGTGTTGGTCAGGCTGGTCTTGAACCCTTGACCTCAGATGATCCACCCACCTCAGCCTCCCAAAGCGCTGGGATTACAGGCGTGAGCCACCATGCCCGGCTGGAAACTGTTTTAAGAATACAGAGTTTATGCAATATTTCAGTGAATATTTTTAGTTTTAGTGATCTGTTCATAAATGTCATATCTAAATAAAGATCTAAAAATATCCCAAAGTTTTTAGAATCAAAGAATCTTTAAATGTAAAGATGTCTTAGAATGAATCTGATAACTGACAAGCCTGAACTGAGACCAGCTCCTGAGTCTTGGATCTCTTTATCTAGTGTTCTTTACCATATGTAGCACTTTGTACATATTCTAAACAATATTAATCAACTGTTAGTGCTCAGCCTGGCCTTTTCTTAACTATCAGACCAGACCAAAAAGTCAGTGTCCTGTGAGGTCCTCAGCCGGTGGTTTGTGAAACAGGAATGAAATCAATAGGATGTTGAGGTCTCAGGTGACTTGACATATTTCTGCTTTTTCTTTTTATTAATTATTTATTTATGTTTGCTTCACAGCATTTGAAAGGAATATTTCTACTTTTAATTTACAATAAACAATCATTTTTTCATTTGTGTTCTATTTTTGTAAGTCTCTAACATTTTTCTCATTCTTTAGAGTCCTAAACTCTAATGAATCAGGGAAATCTACTTTGACTTGAGGTAGAGTAGGAAGAATGATGTGTAAACACCAAAGAACGTCTCTGCTTTGCTTGAGATGAGTAACTTCAGAATTGCATCCTGTGCCTACAGTCAGATTTCTTCTGAACTGTTGAATGTAGTTTAAAAAAAGAGTTTTCTTAATTTGATATCAAAAACATTTGGAATTTCAAGATCTTAATTTGTTTCAAATTTATCTTCTCATCCAAGTGTTAATTTAATTTTCTCTGTGTTTTCTTTGTTTTTAACAGATAGCAGAATCCTATTTCCAGGAGGAGGACTGTATCCTTTTCTTAATTACAGGAAGAAATTTTTAGAACTCTTACAGAACCATTCATTTTTTTTAATTGAAGTATATTTTACATGTAATAGAATGTACAGATCATATGGTTTCAGTGGTTTTGACAGTTGTATGTACCCGTGTAACCACCTCAGAAAGCAAAATGTAGGAAATTTCTGTCTCTTCACAAAATTTCCTAGAACCATCCAAAGTTTACCTTCATAAATAGGCCTTAATTTTACTAAAATAAGTATTTGTATTTATTTTTTGAAGGAAAATTTGTATTATTTTAATTATTTTTATGTACAGAACACTCAACAGTGTACATTTAACCCAGTTTAGCGGCATGTTCTTTAGCCTTTGCCTTTTTGAGCTTGGCAACGTGCGCCACAGACTTGGGACCCGGGACATTGCCGCCCCCGTGATGGTGAATCTCGTCGTATCTGTCGTTGTAATTGGTCCTGGACTAGACAGCCCAGTCTTGCCTTCCCCTTGGATAATGCAGTAAGGGACCCCCATTTTACGACATAGGGCAGGCAAGAAGACAGCCAGCTGGAAGAAGGCATTAGTGGAAGAGTGTATTTTGACCAAAAGCAGTAAATCTCAAAGCTAGCTTGGTAGCAAGCGAGAGAGAGAGAACTTCTGAGTGATCATGAAGACAAAAAGCTGAACAGTGAGTTTTTCTCTTCCTTTTTTCTGGGTCAGCATTTAGAGCATTGCCCAGAGGAAGGTAGGCAGTTGGACAGTGTATCCTGACCTCACAAGATGCAGATCTGTGTGATACAAATGAGAAGGCTAAAGCTCACAGGATCATTTACAAAGAAGTAGAATCACGTGATAATAATGGAAATCACTGTGGCAAGTTAATTGAGTGTTTACAAAAGACCCATATAAGTTTTTGCCCTGTCATTGTTTAGGCATGTGATCCTTTGGTCTTGTGGGAGAAAAGCATTCAGTGGGAAATAATAAGGATCAAGGTGACTTGAAACAGAAACACTTGACCAGAGAGTCACATAGTTCTTTGACAGAAAGTAAGGAGAGAAATAAAAAAGGGAAACATGTAGATTCCAGGATTCCATGTGGTCCTGTTTCCTTAAATTACTTTTAGTTGACTCCGCAGCAGACATTCCTTGAGCATTAAAACCTTCTTTTAGTTTCTGTTTGCCGATAGTGTGGAATCCAAGTAGCTATTGCATAATATGCCACATTAAAATTTACCTACTTCAAAACCAAGAAACATTACTAGGCTGGGCGCAGTGGCTCACACCTGTAATCCCAGCAATTTGGGAGGCTGAGGCAGGCAGATCGCTTGAGGTCAGGAGTTCAAAACCAGCCTGGCCAACGTGGTGAAACCCCATCTTGACAAAAATACAAAAAGGAGCCGGGCATGATGGTGCATGCCTGTAATCCCAGCTACTCTGGAGGCTGAGGCAGGAGAATCACTTGAATCCAGGAGGGGGAGGTTGCAATAAGCCAAGGTGGCACCACTGCACTCCAGCCTCGGTGACAGAGGGAGACTGTGTCTCAAAAAAAAAAAAAGCTGGACGCAGTGATTCATGCCTGTAATCCCAGCACTTTGGGAGGCCGAGGCAGGCAGATCACGAGGTGAGGAGTTCGAGACGAGCCTGGCTCACATGGTGAAACCCCGTCTCTACTAAAAATACAAAAAAATCAGCCAGGCGCAGTGGTAGGCGCCTGTAGTCTCAGCTACCTGGGAGGCTGAGGCAGGAGAATCGCTTGAACCCGGGAGGTGGAGGTTGTAGTGAGCTGAGATTGCCCCACTGCACTCCAGCCTGGACTACAGAGCAAGATTCCATCTCAAGGAAAAAAAAAAAAAAAGAGAGAAACATTACTTTAGATATGTTTAAATTTAAAAATATTTAGAGTCCTCTCATGTTTTAGTAAGCTGCAAATTTCTCAACATCTATAGGACATTGTTCTTCAAATATGGGAATAATGTAAATAGTGTGGATTTCTATTTTCCTTAAATGTTCTATTCAGATGAGAAAGCAATGAAATTCATTCAGCTAGAACGATTGTATCATGAGCAATTGCTCGCAAATCTTTCTGCCATTCAAGAACAGTGGGGTAAGTACAGACCAACATGGAATGTGGAATTAGCAGTAATCCAACAAGTCACTATCTACAAAATTAACATATTTGACCTGGTTTTATAAATCAGAAAATAGATGTTTCCATAAACAAGTTAATGTTGCAAAGAAAGTAGCATTTTTACCACAAGTCTATTATATTGTGAGAAGACTTTTTTCTTTGTATTTTGCTCTTCATATCAATGCCAAGAAAAGAATACTTGCAACTATTTGCATTTTTCCTAATCACATTTCATGCCCTACTGGCTAATTTAGTCTCTAGGATGATATTTACTTATATTGAAAAGTAATAAGTTAGTTATTTCTAACTGTTGGGTTGTTTGAAAAGATAATTTTGCATGCAAATCTTTATGAGTGGTGCTAGTTAACTGTTTGTTTGTTTTTTTGCTCCTAAATATGTTTTATAAGAGCCAGTGACTAACAAATACTTTAAATTTAGAAACAAAATGGAAAACTGTGCAACCACATACAG
The DNA here is from genome assembly GCF_000001405.40 of Homo sapiens. NCBI lineage: Eukaryota > Metazoa > Chordata > Mammalia > Primates > Hominidae > Homo > Homo sapiens. Next base: position 246,634,506 of record NC_000001.11, read on the forward strand.
TTACGGCTCTAAGGAATTCAGAAAAGGGATTTAATGGTGAAGATTTTGAACGGCTTACGAAAATTTGTGCAACACATCAAGAGTAAGTATATCAGAATTTCGTTAGAATGAGTTGGAGTAGAATATTGAAGAAGCATTATAGCATTGAGTATCCATTTCTTTGTTTTATGTTTTCAACTGGAGAAATTAAGATGGATATAATATAATTATTGCAAGGCTCTAGTATTGGTTCGAACCCCGGGAGCGCGCCAACAGACAGCACAAGGCGGTGTGGAGCATCACGCTGTTTTAATGAGCACCTGGGTGCAGACGGGCTGAGGCCTAAAATGGCGTCAGCGCCACGTGAGGACGGGGCAGGGGTTTTACAGTCTCCTGTAAACAGGAAGTGTCCCTGTCTGATGTAACGGCTACGTGGTACCTGGATGGCCTCTCTGTCTATCCTCGGTGGTGCGTGTCTTCCGGCCGGGGTGCGTGTCTTCCGGCCGGCCCTCTTCCTGCTTCTGCTTCTCGCTGACGCGCGCTGCTGGTGCAAGTGGCCTCGCGCCTTGGGACTGGGTCTGAGGAGGGAGGAGTTATTCATCCCCCCAAGCTTTCGGCCCTGGGGAGAATCTTTCATTCCTATTTGGTTATAGAAAAAGGGAAAAGGGGCAACTTTCTCCATAACTACTTCAGGTGTGACATAGAGGGTGGCGTGGGCACCTCGGAAAAAAAGAAAAAATTTTGGCGTATTCTTGAGAGTCGGGTTGGTATCCATCGTGTCGTTGTAGCAGGAGCATCGTCTGGATTGTCTGGCGATTAACTGTAGTTTCAACAAGAGTTTTAATGGCTTTTATTATCAGTGGGATACCACAGGGGAGAAACAGGAGGACCCCAATGATGAAGATTACTGTCCCTACCAGCGTTTTAAATCCCCCTAAATTAGAGAACCACCCTCCTAGAAGGTTTGTTGGGTCCCATCCCTTCCAGGTTTGGACTGGTACACGGGCTACTTTTCTGATGTTTGAAGCGATTTCTAGAACCGCTTTTCCATTATCGTCTATGTTAAGACAGCAATTGGAGATGTTAAACTTACCACAGACCGCACCCTCTTCTGCTAATAAGTAGTCTAGAGCCAGCCTGTTTTGATAAATTGCTGGGTGCATTTGGTTTTGTTGTCACGCGAGCATTTCCAGCGCTGGGGCGGTTTGGTTAGTGATTATCTCTAGAGCAGCCTTTAGTCTAATTATTCTATTTAGCATATATGTGGGAGTGCGATAACCCCGTGAACCATCCTCAGCCCAGGTGGCAGGACCGTAATATTCGATGATCCATTGCGGAGGCCACTCGTCCTCTCACGGTCTTTGGCTTCCTCCTGCCTTTAAGGACCGTTTTTCTCTGGTTATCATACGCAGGGACTCCGAGGGTGTTGCCCGCCTGCTTTGGAAGTAAAACGAATCCAGGTTGAATTGTGCATAGGAAGCTAGTGCTAAGGTAGCCGTGAGTAAGCCTGGGTTCCCCATATCCAAAGGAATCCATCGGGGCAGTCCATCGTCAGCTGGTGTTCCTAGGATTGTCGCATAGTGCACTTAGGCAGGGGTATGCGGCAGAAGAGTTAGTGGTGTTTGTACAGTTCCAGGCCTTTTTTGACAAGACACAATTGAGGTAGCTGAAGTTAGAGGGAGACCAGGCTCCAGGGGGTAACCTTGGCCACCACTCGGCTGTGGAGGCGTTGACTGTTAGGGTTTGGTGACAGGGGCTTTCACCTGCGGCACGATGGGTTTTATCAGTCCACTTGCGGGATATGCACGCCGTCCCTCTTACTGGGTTGGTAAGTGTCCAGGTCGACGGGCGTTCCTGAGAATTCAAAGTGAGGCTGGGGTTTTGAAATGCTAGTAATTAAGGGGGAAGGTCTATCCCATGCCACGGCCACTGTTCACTCCTGCGGGCTCCCCCGCATACCCAGCAATTGGACACATTCGTGGTAAGCGCGATGCCCTCTCCTAGATCTACAAACCGGTTTTTTCCTGGCTAGGGAGGGGATACGTCTGCTTATGGTTTTTGTGTAAAGGGATGGAAATACCACGGGTGATTTTCAGGGGTAGTTGTTGGTTTTGAGACTTTTGCTTTGGCTATAATCCATTCTCTCTTTCTGTCTTCGAGCACTTGAGCGTTTGCTCCCCATTGTCCAATTTTGGTGAAGCAAAGCCACTGTTTCCCTTTTGGACATGTAGCCCCATTATGACTGCCAGATACTCCTAGATTTTTTACTTTATAATAACTCTTTCCTGATTCAACACATTCCTCGACTAAGGTTCCACAATAGGATCTTTCTATATGACTATGGTGAGTGAAGGACTGTTGACATGAGTATGGTGAGTGAAGGATTGTTGCATCTTTCCTCTGTGGTGGAAAGACTGATAACACTCACAGCAGCTCTGAAGGGCTGCTGTGGGCAGCAGGGCGGCTACTGACCGTATAAGGATCGTGGTGAGGGATATTCCCGTATTAAGACTTTTGGTTGGAAGTGAGGCACAGCATCGGATTGGGTAGATACAGGCCATCTCTGGAAGCAGGTGTTTAGTCTTCCTCGTGTTTTGGTTTTAAGAAAAAGAAAATTTTTTGGTTAATTTCAGCTTGGTAGAAGAAACTGGCCTGGACAACCACTTATCTGTTAATGTTTTGGAGGAAGAAGTAGCCTTTGGGGTGAGCTTGACCCTGGTACGATGGACCCAGTTGGGGAGTCCTTGGACTCTCATGCTGTTAGTGTGCATGCTGAGTATCACAGCGTAGGGGCCTGTCCACTTTGGTTGTAGCTTTTTGTGAGGATCAGGTTGGCCAATAAACACGTCTGTGCCTGCAAGACAGTTATGTTGAGAGGACAAGGAGGTGTCGGCAGGGAGAGGCATGGCCTCATTCGCTGCTTCACAAATGAAAGACCATGTCTGGATTAAGGAGGGTAAGTAATTCCCGAGTGGCTCAGAGTCTGGTGATGGCGGAGGCCCTAAGACAAAAGTTCGTCCATACATGATTCCAAAGGGACTATAAAAAGAGGGTGCTTTTGGTGTTGCACGGAGTCTCATGAGGGTGTAAGGGAGATTTCTCATCCACGACTGGTGGGTTTCTAGAGCCAGCTTGGTGAGTTGAGCTTTAAGGACAGAGTTGATGTTTTCAAGTTTGCCTGAAGATTGAGGCCTGTAAGGTGCATGGAGAACCCATTTCATTCCTAAGGACGTGGAGACAACTTGGGTGATTTGGCTGGTGAAGGTGGGCCTGTTATTGGATTGCATGGATGTCCCAATGGAGTGTGAAACGGGGAATTGTATACATGATGAGAGTTTGTATGACAACATTTGCACCTTCTGAAGTTGTTGGGAACGCTTCTACCCACCCAGAGAAAGTACAGACAAAGACTAGAAGGTAATGGAGCCATTTATCAGGTGAGTGAAGTCTACCTGCCAATCTTGCCCAGGTACCTGGCCCTGGGCTTGGTGGTTAGAAAAAGGCGGTGGCCAGAGGGAGCCCTGGGGTGACACTGAGTGGCAGATACAGCAGGACTGGATGATCTCTGGAACGCGGCTGGAAAGGTGAGGACAAGTGAGAATAGGGTGGAGAAGTTGCAAGAGAGGTTTGTAGCCGACATGGAAAGAGTTGTGGAGGCTTTGGAGGATAGGCATTGTTTGAGCATGAGGAAGAATGAGAAGCGCCCTTCCTTGATGTACCATGGTCCTTGCTTTTGGAGGTTCTGGACCTGGAAGTCCTCCTTTTCTTCTGAGGAGTAAAGAGGAAAGAATAAGGACAGGGACAGAAACTGGCCTTGCACGGTTGTAGGGCTACTTGTTTGGCCGCCTGATCTGCTAGTGCGTTTCCAGCCCGTATAGGATTGTCTGGGGTTTGGTGGCCCCTGCAATGAATGACGGCAGCTTTCTGCAGGAGCTGGGCAGCCTGAAGGAGCTTGCTGATGAGAGAGCCGTTTATGACAGGAGTGTTGTTTGCAATTAGGAAACCCCGTTCTTTCCAGATGGACAAGTGTGAGTGCACTATGTGGAACACATAACGAGAATCTGAATATATGTTCATTTGTTGTCCAGCTGCTAGAGTGAGAGCTCGAGTGAGGGTGATGAGTTCAGCCTTTTGGGAGGTGGTTCCTAGGGGGAGCAGATTGGCTTCAATAGTGTGGGCGGGT